>NC_000002.12:21449149-21600664 GCF_000001405.40 Homo sapiens
ATTTATGAGGATTCAGACTTGCCATTGCTGGGTTGATCTTTGTGGTTCTTGGAAGGGGCTCCGAGGTGGGAGTCCCTGCTGCAAATGCAGCTCTGGCTGGACCTGCCCTGCAGTTAGCCCTGAGGGCACCAATGATCTCAGATGCAAGATTGGCCCCCGGGAGGGGCCAGTGCAAGGATGGACGCTGGCTCTAGTCTGGTCCACAAACTGATAGGTAACCTCTCTGAAGTACTGTATTTTAAAAGGAGTTACTCTTTCATTCTTTCATCTAGCAGCAACTATGTAGTGAGCATCAACAAAGAACCTATTGAAAGTCTAACTAAACGGTGATTTGAAAAATCTGCCTCTGCATCTTGTCACCCAATTCCCATAGACCAACTGATCATGCTCATGGTATTTTGCACTTGAAGTTTCCCAAGTGAGAGACAATTTGGATTTGATGAGAAAGGTGAAATTGTCTAGGCTTTACAGATGAGGGTTGTAAAGATGTCTTAAACCCTAGATGATATTTGCTTAAATATATTCAAGATCAACAGATCTGTAATCTTGCCCATTGTCCAAAGCCCAGGGTGAGCTCACCTTCTCTGTGAAAGCTCCCTGGGCCATCATCCTCACCACTTGGGATTGATACTACACAGGCTCTTTTTTCAGTTCAATTTCATTCTGTAGTTATTTAAACATTTACTTTTTGTAAGGTTCAGTGCTGGATTCTGGCAATACTGCATCATATGTTTTATGCCATTTGTTCTTGTTTTTTTTCATGTTTTGACCTTGTTTTACCTGTGAGATTGTCAGCTCCTAAAGGACAGGATGCAGCCAATACTTCCTCTGAGCTCCTCCTAGCACAGCCCAGCACGGTGCTTTGCACGAAGGAGAGGTTTAATGATAGTGACCTATGAACTGAATTGTATAAGCAATTACAATTTACTAGTTATTTACCAAATTCTTACAGCCAAAGGGAAAGTTTGCATTTTATTTTCTAAATGAATCTTTGTTTCAAATTCCTTAGTCCATCCCTTTGCGTCATAGAAATCCACTAAAATTTCTTTTTGGCTCCAATTATTACCTGGCATACATTACCCTTCTTTTTCCTCTTTTTCACTGACCTTCCGCATAGCTTTTAAATTTGCACAGATCTGTGATAAGACAGGGAATTCTGCCACTCCTTGACAGATATTCTGTCATTCCATGAATTTCATAAAGACAGAAGAGGCAGTAGAAATTAGCAATGTCACCTCCAACGTCAAACTCATTTAACAATCCTTTCCTGTTCATTTTCATACTCCACTTAGCTCAAAGATTTTACTGTTGTCTTCTTTTTTGAAACTGAAAAACACGTCTGCATTTGCAAAGAATGGTGACAGGAGATGCAGCCGATGTGAAAAAGTTGATAGAGGGAAAAGTTGTGTTAAAATACATAGCTTATTAGAGTTATAATATCGTATTCAAGAAAAAAGATTTCGGAATTCAATAGGCATCATTTGCAAGCAAGAAGGCTTAAATACAAAAAGTAATTTCTCTTGGTCACCTAGCAATTCAATGAGAGACTTCGGACTGCAGTCTGTGTTGGTGGTCTTTGGATTGGCTATTCTTATTCTTTCAACATAAAACCCCTCTGTGAGGTAGCACATTCTGGGACACTGAACCCAGCCTGTTGTGCTGTCTCTGAAGAGGACATATATCCCAGTGGTTTAGAGCCCAAGATTTGGAGTTAGGTGGCTCTGGATTTTCAAAATCACATTCCTGAAATAACCTTGAGGAAGTTACATTATTTCTCTTAGCACCTGTTATCTCCTCTATAAAATAAAGATAATGATAGTGTCTACAGGGTTGTTGTGAGAATTAAATTAGCTAATGGCCCACAAACCGGCATGCTGTGAGGCGCAAATCATGGCTGTTACTATTACATATCCACCATTTAGAAACAATCGTGAGGCACACAGATGAGTTCTTTGGCAGAGTGCTATCCGATAGCACATGTTATTAAATCTCTAAAGTAGCCATTGGTGACCTATTAAACTAGGCCATTACCCGCTTGCTGCATTTATTCATTTACATGTTCATTGGGTGCCTAGGCAAGTATTTAGTGGGTGCCTACTCAGTGTCATATGCCTATGCTAGGCACCAGCAATACAGAGGTGATTTAGATGTGGTCTCTGTCCTTGAAACACTCTTATGGAGAAGTAATTACATTAGAGTGATAAGGTTAGCAGCAGAAGTACATTCAAGGCAGCCTATTCAAAGGATTGAGCCCCACCTTCCTAAAACCAAATAGGTGTGAGAGAGTCAGAGAGCACTTTGATTCACTGAACTATATTTATTTCCTTTTCAAGGTTTCTATGATCAGGCTCATGATGAAATAACACCGGGAAAATGTGCTCTTCCCTAATATGTGCAAACAAATTCAGAAATGACATATTTCAAAGATAGGTCATATCTGATTTAACATGCTTCTGGATTCCACCTAAGAAGTCATCCTTTGCCGTTTCCTGTGCTTCCTCCTTCCCCAGAGCCTGCTAAGGAAGTTTGCATTGTGAAGTGATGAATGCATATAGGCCACTCACTCTAGCAGTGCTTCTATTTTTGAAGGGCAGTGAAGGCACATTTAAGGATGAGTTTCATTTATGATTTTGCTTGTGGGTGAGCTCAGGTAGGAGTTGATATCGATAGTGAACCGTATGAAATTTTCACTTACCAGAAAATGAAAAAGTTCTGTGACAAAGATGAAACGAACTGTGTCTTTGGATGAATGCCACTAAGAATGTTGTCAGAGGCGACAGGAGGTATGAAAACTACCTTCCTTCTTGGCCATTTGGGAAGACTGAGGCTCAGGAGGCTTAGCTAAGGTCAGTTGTGAGCTCATGCCAGGAGCCAGGATTATTGTATGACTCAGTCCTTTCCTTTTTCCACCCTGAGAGGGTTTTACTACCTGTGACCTGCGTTGCATGATGTGAAAACACTCAGTAACCTCTGAGGATCTTCAAAACATATTGATCTATTTGATGCTGCAGTGTTTTTCAATGGCACTTCTATGTCTATTTTGTTCTCCTGCCCTCCCACCATCGTTTGTTTCTCTATCATACATTTAATTGCTGTGATGACTTAAGAAATGACTTAAGAAATGACTTAAGTCATTTAAGAATGACTTCTGTCCAACCCTGAATTGAGGACTTGCTAGAACCATGAGCCAGCACTTCCCTCCTCCCCACTGTGCCTACCCTCGCATGCTGTTCTCCCACTTCCCTGTATTCACCCTGCCTTTGTGCCAGTCCCATCTAGTATCCGGCGGAGTACCAGAGAACAGGAAGCATTCAATACATATTTGCTAGATTAAGCAAAAGCAATGACATGACAATAGACGAAGCAGATAAGCTTAATGGAAAGATAATGTTGTGAGCACAAAGGATAAAATGAATCCTAGCTGCAACACGGAATTAACTGAGGCATCTTTTTGATCAGCTCTGACCAACTTTAAAAGGAAACAAGCTTCACTATAAAAGGTTAAAATCTGCTCTTTGCCTCCCTAATTTGTTTTCTTCTCCCATTCCTATGTCTTTGTTAAGTGTCTCTCTCTCTTACATTTCCAGGGCAGTAATCTCTGCAGCTGCTAATTGTGCCTTCGTGGATCCACAATGCTTCTTGTGGCCTTGATAGACGACTGTTCCCTTAACATGTTTACATTTCCAAAACACTTTGTGCTTCTCCCTTGGGAGTGCCTGGGATATGCAGATAGGGATGGCTCTGTGCACAGCCGACTTCTTCTGCCCTGCCTTACATTCAGCACAGGAGCCTGCAGCCAAAAATTAGAATAAGGCTTTCAGAAGCTGCTTTGAGACCTGTGGTTACTAACAGGAGAGGAGTTCAATGGCGGGGTGGGGGAGGGGAGGTGAGGGATTGAGGTGGGGCAGTGAAAAATGCGGCCTTTATGTGACCCAGCTAGAACTTCTTCTCAAAGACTCCTGAAGACTCCTTGCTCTTCAGCTTGCTCTCACATCACCTTGAACCTCTGCGTCATCTTGCTCTGTAGGCTGCTCTAGCTTCTGAGCTTTCTATATCTGACTCTTTCACGGGCTCCTTCGTTTCCAGGACGTGGTTGTCTGGATTCCAGATCTATCCCAATCTGTTCAAGCCCCTACATTTCATTAACTGCACTCTTGTCCATTTCGTTTTCAAGGCTTCTCCTAGTCATCCATTCCACATCCGCTGTCACCTGCCTAGGTTAGGACCTTGAAAATCTCTGATCCATCGCACTGTCTTCTAACAGGTTTTCCCCTCCGGCTGTCAAACCTACCATCTCCATAAGAGAGACAGCCTTTTCCGTATGCCAGTCATCTGGTCAAGGACCCTCTGTGGCTCTCACTGCCCTTAGAACAGGCCCTCCTGGACCATTGCTGATGGATGGATTGCTCTGCAAACTCTGCATGGTGCCTATGTTTACGAGGCCCTGACATAGCTTTTAATGACCACTCACATGAATCTCTGTCTCCAAAAAAGTCTTTGGAGGTATTTAATGTGCAGCCTTTGTCTATCTCAAGTAGATGGGCATGCCTGAGAGGTAGAAGTGACTCCAGAGAAACCAATGCGTTTTAACAACACTCTGAATGACATGCCTTCTTTGGGGATATTTCTCCAAACTGATCAGCTTGCTTGGAAGTGGAGCCTGCCTTCATTTTTAGCATCACATCAAATTTGAATGCCGTTGGTGTCTCGGAGTGCTGCAATGTTCCTCGTGACAGTTCGAGCAAAGTCTAATTATGGAAAGATAAATATGAGTTCCAACTTCTTGCTGTTCCCCAGGATGTCACAACCCTAAATGCTCTGTGAGTTCAGATTTTTGTGAGTCACTATTATTGTGCAGGAGAAAAGTTTATATTATTAAATCTACTCTTAGCTGTACAGTTTCTTCAGAGACCTAGAGCTCTTCCTGCCTTTATAGATCTAAAGAAATTGGATAAAGAGACAATAACCTGAACATTCCTAGAGACACTGGATATTTTGATCTATTTTTACTGCAGCCTATTTCCAAGGGCAACACGTCTCTTATTTTTTTAATCAAATGGTGTGAATCGAAAGTTGCAGCCTGACCTCTGGAGCAGACACCACGGGATGTCAAAGGCAGCTGTGAATAGTGTGAGCACCAAAAAGGAGTTGCCTTGGTCTTACTCTGGGAAAATAACCTTGACTGTACACTGAGGAAGCAGCCTATCATCTCAAAGAGCAGGAGGGTTTGCTTTACATTTGGGATTGCTGCATTTTGCTCTGCTGTTCACTATTGTCTGGACATTGGTTAAGTCTGAGGTGGGAGGGCTGTTGTGTGTGGCTATGTACAAGATAAGCAAAGTCCAACTTCTCAATTTTGTCAACTCTTTCTTTATTGAGTGAGTGTCACAGGTAGATGCTGCTGAGAAATCTCAGTGGAAAGGAGGGACAGAGGGCAACTGAGCATAGAGAAAATCACATTTATATTTGTTTTTGAAGAGCAGGAATAACCACTAGCAAATGTATAAAGTCTTATTGATACTTATAATTAGGATCACCATTTCTTTGTTCTAAGGTAGAACTTCTCAATGCCCAATGTAATTCTGAGCACATTATATGGAAATATAAAGCTATTTAGTAATTAATTAATTAATAAAAAATGCAGAAACACTGTTGAATATTCTCCTTTCCCCCAAGAGTTGGGCCTATCTTATGGGCTCCTGTAGCACCCATTTCTTTCCCCAAATTTATGAAAAACCTAGAATCACTAGTCTACTCTTTGGCTTTTTTCTAGTTGATGAATTTTAAGAGGGCAGGGGTTAAGTCTTACCATTTTTCTATGTAGCCCCGGCTTCTAGGATGGTGTCTAGCACATCATACACATTTGATAAACATGTTTTGTGTAAATATGTCATATTTAAAAATGATGTGTGACACGTTTGGCACTTCTGATTTCAGTCAATACTCTTCATTTGCTTAAACTGTATAATCACAGAGACTATCTTTGAGAGCCTGCATTTAAATGTCTATCCAATTTCTATACTATCTCACTTTACCCATCATCAAGGTGCAAGGGCTTATACAGTTAGGAAAAACTACCCATCTACTCCTCCCACCTTAAAGAAAAAAGAGAAGGAACCCAGCTAAATCAGTCACATTTTCCTCTGAGCAGGAGCAGAAGTTAGCTGAGGGAGAGCTCTGGTTGTCTAAAAGCAGGTTAGCATCTGGGTTGATGGATATAGCCAAAGACAGGTAGTGTAGATAGTGCATGCAGAGGCAAGAATTGGCTGGCTCAGGTGACTGGTTTGAGGAAATGCCAATTTCTAGTACTTAGAGAAGTGTATAACCAAAGACCAGATTGGACAATTTCTATCTTAGGGGAAACCATTTGAGGTAATAGGGTAGTCTCAGATAAGGATTCTTCTTCCTAACGATTTCAGGACACTGGAAAAACCTCCTGGAATTTAGCTACCACTCCAGGGAGAAAGGCTGGTGCAAAGAGTGCAAAGAGATTCTTAATAGATACTGTGTCTCCCAAAGACAACAAATCAATCAATCAATGCAGTGTCACATTCACTTAAACATGACCAAAAGAAGGTTCCTCCTCCCTTTTGCTGAGAGATTAAAAGAAGAAATAAATGAAGTTAGAGAAAAATAAAAGAAGTTATTGAGTCTCCAGGTCTAATTATCAGAAACTGACCAGTGGCCATTCTTGGAAATTTTAAATTGAAGAAAAAAACAAAAACAAAAACAAACAAAACCAACTTAGAGAAATAGGTGGCTGCTTCTCCTGTTAGAATAAAGAAAACTTTAATATTACTTTCATTTACTGACACACCTGTTCTTTTTGAGGAACTCTTCCCCTAATTTCACTCTATTATCTGCTAAGGGATGAATGATGAAGTTTAAATACAGTATATGAACTCCAAATAATTAAACCTGATATTTCCTTTCAAAAATGGCATCTCTCTAAGAGCATAAGATTCTTTCTTTTTTTTTCTTTTTTTCTTTTTTTCTTAAGGGGAGAAAAGGAGAAAGAAAAGAGCCTGCTGAGACTGAAATTTTAATTTTTAGACCAGGATGTTTCCAGAAGCTTCTTAATAGGGCATTTGAATTCATGTTCTTGAGGAAACTTTCTACATCCTGCTGGGGTGTAGAAAGAAGCTGTTATCCACTGGATACCTGAGAGAGGGCACAGGGCCTACTGTGTACAATCTCAAACCTTGAAATAATCACTCATTTTGGTACGAAATTCAGCTAGGAATCTGATTTTTAAAGCTTCAATATTAGAAAAAATCAGTTTCTATGGATTCTACTTACCTATATGTGAGGAGAGCAAGGTTTGCAATTGAATTGTTAATTATCTTGGAAATGTAATTGTGGGTTAACTTGAAAAATATGTAAACGTTTGCCTTTGAAAGAGCCAATCCTGCTGCAATGAATTGTAAAATGTCTGTTTTGGTTCTAAATAGGAGCATATGATCTGTCTTTACCATCTTGCCATTGCTTTCTTCCTCCCTCCCTCCCTCCCTCCTTTCATTTCTCTTTATTTCTTTCTGTTTCTCCTTCTCCTCTCCTCCTCCCTCTCTCTTTTGGAGGTAATTTGCATACAATAAAATTCAGTGATCTAAATTGTTCAATTTGATCAATTTTGACACATAAACCCATGTGATCAGTACACAAAATATTACGTAAAACATTTTCTTCACTCAGAAAGATGTATTGTGCTTCTTTCCAAGCCAGAGGCACCCAATGTCCTGATTTCCATTACCAAAGTGTTGCCTATCTTTGATTTCATTTAAATATAGAGTATGCACATTGCATTTTACTTCTTTCTCTAAACATAATGTTTTGAAAATTCACCCATGTAAATGTATAATAGTTTGATCTTTTCCATTGCTAAATAGTATTCCATTATATGAATACAGCAGATTTTGTGTATCAGTTTTCCTGTTGAGAAAACTTTGGCATATCTCCAGTTTTTTACTGTTATCAACAAGGCTGTTCCGAGTCTTTTTGTGGACATGTATTTTCATTTATTCTGGGTAAAATCAAGAGATATAATTGTTGGCTGATAGGATTGGTAAATGTTAACTTTTTCAAAAATTGACAAATAGTTCTTCAAAGTTTTTAAGTGATTTTATACTCCCATCAATATGAGAGTTCAGTTGCACCAAATCTTTACCTTCATTTGGTATTCTCAGTCTATTTATTTATTTATTTATTTTACTTTTGTCATTCTAGTGGTTGTAAAATAGTATCTCATTTTTTAAAATTTGCATTTCCCTGATGATTAATGACATTGAGCATCTTTCCATGTCTTGGCCGTATGTGTATCTTTTATTTATAAAGTGTTCATTCAAGTGTTTCACTCAATTTCTTATTGTATGGCTTAATTTTTGTTGCTAATTTGTGGGAATGCTTTATATATTTGCAATACAAATTCTTTGCCACATACGTATAGTATTTTTATATATTATATTTCATTGTGTCTTGGAACTGCTTTTTCATTTCCTTACCCATATCTTTCAAAAATCTAAAGTTTTTATTTTGGTAAAGTCCAATACAGCAATTATTTACTTTTAAAGTTTATATTTTTGGTTTTCTATGTAATAAATCTTGCATATCTTGAGGTCACAAAGATATTCTCTCATTTTTTCTGCTAGAAGTTTTGTAGAGTTGCTTTTAAATTTAGGTTTATGATCCATTTAAAATGAACTTTTATGTATGGTGTGAGGTAAGGATTGCAGTTAATATATTTTTCATACAGATATTCAGTTGTTCTGGCACCATGTATTGAAAAGATGACATTTTCCCTACTGAATTGCCTTCATGCCACTGTCGTGAATCAGCTTACCATATGTGAGGCCCTTTTTCTGGGCTATGTTGTTTTATTGACCTATATCACTTATAGATATAATTTATTTGTAAGACATCAATATCAGAGTTTCTTGATTAGTGTAGCTTTATAGTAAGTTTTGAAATCAAATGCTATAAATTCTCCAACTTTGTTCCTCCCTATAAAATATTTCTTGACTTTTAATTTTGAAATATTAATAGACTTCCAAAAATTAGAAAAGTAATACAAAGAATTCACTCCAATTTCCCAAATGTTAATATCTTACATAAACCACAGTATGATACCAAACTCAGAAAATTAACATTGATACAGTAATGTTATTTAATATATGTCTTACTCAAATTTTACCATTTCTTGTTGCTCATTTGCAATTCCATCCATTATCATCTCCCTTCAGCCTGAAGAAATTTGCCTTGTAGAACAAGAACAGTAGTAGTTCTTGTAGGCAAACTTTTTGAAAAGTAATTATGGTTTTTTTTTCCTCTCTCTTTCTAAAAATGTCATTATTTTGCCTTTAATTTTTAAGATAGGGTTCTAGGTTTACAGATTTTTTTTTCCAATCCCTTATAGATGCTCTTCTTTTGACTTCTAACATCTATTATTTTAGGTGACAATTCCGGGTTTTTTATTTGTTTGTTTTCTTGGTACCAATTTGCCCTTATACCTTTTTTCTTTGCCTGCTTTTAATACTTTTTTTTTTCTCATCTTGGGTTTTCAGCAGTGTGACTCTGGTATACATTGTTCTAATTTTCTTCTTATTTATCCTGTTTAAGTTTCAGTGATATTTAATGTGAGTTGAAATCTTTCAATAGTTTTTGAAAATTCTCAGCCACATGTCTCCAAATATTTCTACTTATTTATGTTCTCTTTCCTTTCCTCCTAAGATTCCAATTACACATATGATTGTCTATTCAATAATGTTCATCTCTGGGTAAAAATGTAGTGGAAAAATTAAACAGAGATTTTCTGATATTTTCCACTAGATTTTTGCTTTTTTTTTTTTGTATTTCAGTATATCTTCCAGTATTACAGTCTTTTGGTTCTTTCCTACTGTGTTACTGTCAGTCTATTGTCAATATCATTAAATAATTCTTAATTTCTAATATTGTATTTTTCACGGCTAGCTTACACATTTACTTTCTTTTATTCTTTGTATTTTCCATCTCTCTACTGAGATTTATTATATCTTCACATATGTAGTTCTGCTTTTTCACAAGATATCTTAATGTATTTATTACAGTAATTTTAAACCCCTTGCAGGATAATTCTAACATTTGAGAGCACCTATAGCTCCATTTCTATTCATGTTTTTCTCTCTTGACAAACTTATTTTCTTGCTTACAGGATCCATAATTTCATTATTTTTATCTGAGCAACTTTGTGTAAGAGAATACTAGATACAAGACAAAAATATCATTTATTCCTAGAAAAGCACATCCCTCATTATCTATTAGGTTGTTATTGTGGGAGCTAAATTAATCTAACCCGTATGCTTTATTTTATTTTATTTTTTGACATCCGCAGAGGAATTAGGATTTTAGCACAGGTGAGTTTTTGCATGTCTCTTTGTGTTTGTAGCCCAGTTGCCAGCTTTTTGGGTTATTGTGATATTATTCTCTTTGTTCTCTATTTTCATCTCTAGCTTTCTATACTTCAGTAAATATCTCTCCATTCTTACACTCCATCCACAGTCCTTGGTAACTGATGTCCTGAATTTGAGAAAGACCTCATTTACTTATAGGAATTATCTCTTGGTTTTCTTCCCATGTTCCCAACTGTGTTGACAGGTAGTTGTAGACTTACTCACTGAGGCACCTCAGAATTCTAATTGGTCAAGGCAGTCTCCACACAGCCTCTAGAAGAGGTTACAATAGTTTCTCCTTATCCCTGACTATAGAGGATTCTCCTGGCTGCTGCTTCTTCACTAGGAAAGAAAACAAAACAAAACAAAACAAAACAAAACAAACAAACAAACAAAAAAACACTTTTCCAACACCCTAGGAAAGGCTTGCCATTTAAAAAATTTTGTTTAGTGTTCTCTGTGTCCTCCCATTGCCAGTGAATAAGAACAAAAACAAAAACATTGTGCTCTAACTTGTCCAGCCTTTCCTTGTTAGGGTGGAAGAAACAGTCTCTTATGATTTTTTTTTTTTTTGCATTCTAAATTCATTTTTTGCATTTAAGCAGAAGTTGACCATTCTACCATTCTTTCCCTAACTTCTGTGGTCTGAATTTTGTATTTTCTACTTATAAAATTACACTACTTTTCATGCCTGATTCCTTGTAACAATCTGTGGGGGTCATGATGTTGGAGGGTCTGCTGCCCTTGGAGTATCAGTATTAATCAGGTGGAAGGATGCCATCCCTTTTTCTTTGTTTTTAGTCATGGAAAGTGTCCTTGTTGGAATACATTCCCACTCACCCTGGTATCTCTTGATAAGTAGTAATTTGAAGTTATCTTGACGCCAGTCCCAGGAATGATTTCCTTCCTAGTACACTCCTGGAACCACAGCCCTCATGGTCATTGTAGCAATTGACCATACTTAAGAGGTACTTCATTCTGTTGTCAATCACTGGACTGCCAGTTACTCAAAAGTTACTAACTTTTAGTTTCAACTTTTAGTAAACAAACAAACAAAAACAAAAATAAATGGACACATTGGTCTAGATTCTATAAATGGAGTAGGAAATCCTAGTTTCTTGAGAATCCAGGTGGAGATGATGTTAGTGAATTTGTAGGGTTGGTAGCAGCAGGCTGATTTCCTTGGTCTGAGTAAGCTCAGTATTTGAAAATTATCTGCATTAAGACAGTGCATGTTGAAATTGTCTTATAGAAATGCTGTGGATTCCTTGCTGTATATAAAATTACAACGTGTACACGACTGGCATGCACACTATGTTCAAGGTACAGATCCGTGGTCCACAGAGGGCTTCTACATGATTTGAGGGAAGATAGAGACTAGAAGTTTATTTCAGCTTTCTGTCAGATTATATGGGAAAAAATATCATACAGCATTTTAAAAAGACATTCAATGTAGTTTCCCCAGAGTCCAATTATTTTTTTTTCTTGTAGAAGAAGAATTGCTCACTATCAACAAGGAGTTCACAATTTTATTGAACTTAAATAGCAGGTAGAGACAACTAAACAACAAGCTTATATTGAATACTTCCTCTGTGGCCAGCATAATAATGGGATTGTAGTCATATGACATGCTCTCTTAAGTAAAAGAGATTATACCCTAGATCAGGAAACTAACGTATATACCTAATCAAAGTATTTAAGCATTACTTTTATTGTTGCTATTATTTAAATCTTTCCTTGAATTTTTAATTGGCAAATAATAATTGTGTATATTTATGGGGTAAAATGGAAAGTTTTGATTGTTGTATACATTATAGAAAGATTCAATTAAGCTAATTAACACAACCACGAACTTATTATTTTGTAATGAGAACATTAAAATTCTACTCTTTTAGCAATTTTGAAATTTACAATACAGTATTATTAACTATGGTCATTATGCAGTGAAATAGATCACTAAGCCTTATTCCTCCAGTCCAACTGAAACGTTGTACCCTTTGATCAATGCCTCCCCTTCCCGCATCACTCACTCTTCCACCCCCGAGCCTCTGGTAACCGCCTTTCTATTCTGTTTCTATGAGATCCACTTTTTTAGATTCTACACTTGAGTGAGATCATACAGTATTGGTCTTTCTGTGCCTGGCTTATTTCACTTAGCATAATGTTTGAAAGTTGTCCAACAAATGGTTCAAACAAAGTGTTGCAGGAGCTCAGATGAGGGAGTAGATAGAAAAGTGCTGAGAAACAAAGTGAGGGATCTCGGGGAGACTTCACATAGAACATGGGACTTCAATAGGGTTCTGAAGTATGAGTAGTGGGTTTCAACACAGAGACAACTTCGTGGTACAGTCAGTCACGTCAAAGAGTTGGAACTAGTTTGGCACTTGATACAGTTTCACTTCTCTTCTTGTCAGTCCCTACAGAAAGGCAAGAAGCCTGAAGTGTCAGACAAATGAACAAAATTGTGAAGGGAGCCTATTTATAAGGTATAAATATGAAATCAAGACATTTGGCTATAGTAGAGATAATTTTCAAACAAATCTATGCACTTACTCCATTGGCATAGCTTATGTTAAAACTGTCTGTGGCAACTAAGTCCTGGGAACAACTCTTCCAAGCCTATTTTAGAGTTATTTGAAGTCTCATTTCTGCAGAATAGTGATTCTCAACTGGGAGTCTCTATGAGAAACTCTTAGGAGATTTTAAAATGCAGATACTCAGGTTTTATCGCAGCTCTACTGCATCTGAGTGTTAGGAGTATGTATCAGAATCACCTGTATGTAAATATGATCCTACTTGCATACAGGTGATTCTGATTTTTTTTTGGTTACAAATCATTGTTCTATAGCAGAGTTGACAAACTTTAGCATGCATCAGAATTACCAGGAGACCTGTTAAAATATAAATAACTGGGCTGCATCTTCTAGAATTTCTGATTCAGTAGACATAGGATGGGGCCCAAGAATTTGCATTTCTAATACATTCTCAGATGATGCTGATGGAATGTGGCTGGTCTGAAAACCATGCATCTTAGGTACTGCAAACAAAAACTATCAGAGACAATATAAATTACATAACAGTGTAGCTTGCATATATGGGTTACAGGTTTTCTGAAAAGAGGGGAGGGCACTAGATTTGAAGCATGGAATTTAGGGTGACTATGCCCTCATCTTTTCACCTCCATGCACAGGGAGGGCCAAGACCTCTTTCAATCCCTGCTGGTTATGTTCTGGGGTAGCAGAGAACAGTCTGGATTTTAATTGTTTTCAGCATCTAAATATACAGATTTCTCCCTATCGAGAAGAATGACTGAAGGCAGCTCCTGTAGAGAGGTTCCCGAAATGGTCAAAGCTCTGCCAGACTCATCAGGATAGGTCTGTAGCCTCCCTACAGGGTTCCTCTGAAGAGGACATACATACATGGAGGCAGGGACATACTGAGATCAGGGTAATGGGATCCCAACGAAAGGGAATATCTTATCACTGACATTGTTTAGAAGTGCTGGCTCATGCTAATAATAAAAAGCAGGCTGAAGTTTTTTTGGTCTGTTTTATTATTGTTTTAAAATTCTCTACAGACGATATTTGCCTTTATTATTTACACCTGTGGTGGACCTTTCCCATTGTTCTGGCCTTGATATGCTACGGCTTGGAGGCACAAAGGTCTTTTTTTTTTTTTTTGTAAGTTATCCACTTTATTATGGCCACAGGTCACTATTCTTCAAAGGATCAAATAGAAACAGGCTTTACAGAAAAGGAATTTCCACAAAGTCCCTGGAGATCAAAGACGTCTAATTCGTGGACATTGAACATTCTGTCAATTCTTCTGTGAGGCAGGGCATTCAACTGAAGCAAAACAGCCTCATTTTCTCAAGACAATAAGAAGAAAAGAAAAATAAAACCTGAGATTCAAGCTAGTGCTGTCCTTCTAAGTCTGAGAGCCTCTTACCTTTTCGTTGCAGTGCGTCCTCAGACATATTGTCTCATTTTGAGTCTCGAGAGCTGTATTTTATGCTGGGTGTCACGGGAAAAACTCATCCCGAGAAGGCAGAGGAATTAAGACAGAGAAAGTTTTAGAGCATTACATATTGGTCTGTGGCAAGGGAGCACTTGACTGAACAAGAACCAGCCAGATGCAGTGTCTCCAAGGTGCATCTATAATAACTTAGGTGGCAGTAATTTCCTAGGAGATTGGCATAATTATACCCAAACAAATTGCCTGAACAGCCACATATTTATTAACATGAGATTAAAACTCTCAAGTTTGAATAAACCCAGAGAGCAACAGCGGTAGCAAAAGCAGTAAGGGCCATTGGCAGTCTCTCTAACCCCCAACATGAGGGGGCTGAATCAGAGCCAGGGTAGGGGGTCTAGCCTGCAGTAAGGCTTCTGAGGCCTCAGTAGTAGGTTCTTGCTTACTGGAAAGGATGGAGGTTAATATAATAGGATGTCAGAACTCAGAATCTGTATCACCTAACTAATGTGCAACTAATCACTCTGAAACTTTGTGGCTTTAAACAACAACCATTTATTTACTTTTTAATTTAGGCTGGATTCAGTTCTGGTCTCATCTTATTCCTTTTGTGTGTCTGCAGTCAGCTGCAGGTCAGTTAGGCAGTGATGCTTCCAGGGTTGGCTGGCTGTTGGACAGGGCATTAGGCTGACTGCACAAGTGTTACCAGTCCTCCAGCAGCTGAAGCTGCGCTTAGAAGCGTTGCACGCAAGGCCTCAGGAAACCTAGTTCAGAATCCACACACCATCATTCCCACTAAATTCTCTTGGCCAAAACAAGTCACAAGGCTAGCCCAGAATCAAAAGAAGGGGAAATAAACTGCATTTCTTGATAAGAGAATATGTAACTTCACATGACTAGTGGCATGAGTACAAAGAGAAATGGAGGACTGTGGACATTTTGAAATCTACAAAAAAACTCTTAAAAAACAAAACAGAACCAGAAGTGAGGCTGCTGCTGGCAAAAGTAAACAATGAGCATTCAAGTCGAAGATATCCTAGATTCTGTATTTTTGTTCAGTTAAATTAGGCATGCATTTATTAAGCAAGTTTTATAAGCAAGATACTATATTAGGGACTCTGTAGGGAAGACAAGGCTAAAAAGAAGGAAAATAAAGATATTGGTTCTGACTTCCAGAAGCCCACACTGTTGTGGGAGAGACAGAAACAGACAAATGTCTGCACGATCCCCAATATTCTGATATTTTACAATAATAAATATGAGAAAGGAAGGGTTTAGATAAAGGAGCATGTAGGGGGATGAGCACGGTGGCTCACGCCTGTAATCCCAGCACTTTGGGAGGCCAAGGTGGGTGAATCACGAGGTCAAGAGATCGAGATCATCCTCACCAACAAGGCGAAATCCCGTCTGTACTAAAAATACAAAAATTAGCCTGGTATCGTGGCAGGTGCCTGTAGTCCCAGCTGCTAGGGAGGCTGAGGCAGGAGAATCGCTTGAACGCGGGAAGCAGAGGTTACAGTGAGCCAAGATTGCGCCACTGCACTCCAGCCTGGCAACAGAGTGAGACTCTGTCTCAGGAAAAAAAAAAAAAGGAGCATATACAGGTGTAAAATTACATAATTGTTGCTGTAAGGACTGGACAAGAACAGATAGGTGGAATTGAACGCACCTGAGTGATAGCCATGCTGAGGTGAGTCAAGGAAGCCTGGAGTGGAGATGTCTCTCTAGTGAAGGTAAGATATTGGAAGCAGGCAGACAGACATCAATGTGATTTAGCTGGCTAAAGGCTCACAGAGACATCAGGTGAGCTCAGATTTTGATCAATTGGCTTAATTTACCAGCCAGCACTTATTTGATGGTGAGACGGATTTGAATGATTGGAGGACAAGAAGCAATAAAACTGGTAACAGCTGAGATGGAGATAGAGCAAAAGCTGCAGAGGGATTTGGGTAGCTGAAAATCAAACAAATACAACTAAGATCCTTACTAACAAGTAGTTACCAGTGTTCTGGGATTAAGTGATTGAACTGTGGCTAGCTTATATAGATTCTGGCAAACATATGCCTACCTTTTGCATTGTTTTTTTTGTTGTCTCCTCCATAGAGATTTGCTGGGTTTTCATATTCCAAGAAAGACTCTGGCATTTCAATACAGGTATGTTGGTTGTTCATGGCTTTTTCTTCCAAATTAGTTGCTGGAGTGGTACCAAAACAAGTATCTGCATGCTTTTTGTACTTGTGACAATTACTGTTTAGCTAATTTCACATATCTCAGGCCTTATTGGTTCATGTCATAAAAAACCTGATATGTTAAAAATATGTCTTGTTCTTGGCATGCCATGCATCTGTGTCCATGCTGCGAAATTTAGTCCCTCTAACCCTGTAACGGAGTGTGATTCCTTGAGCATTTCATGGGGTCAAGCTCCCCCTGTTTGGCCATGGTGAGGCGTACACAGTGGGAAGTGCATGCGTGTGGAAGGAGGACCCTCATGTTCTGGTATGAGGGGCAATATAGAGTGGTTATCAGATCAGAGTCCCTGAGTTCCGACTTCCCTATTCAAATGAGGGCTCTCTCATGTTCTAGTCTCATAATTCAGGACAAGTTATTAGGCCTGTCTCTGCCTCAGTTTTTCATTTCTAAAACAAGGAAAACAGTAACGTATGGTTCTGCAGTTTGTTGTGAGGTGATGCATATAAAAGTTGTAAAAGAAAATAAAAATTCAGGACCCTCTAAATTTATTATGCCAAACAGGAAGTTAAGCCCTGAAGACTGAGTCACGTAGCCTGTTTGCAACGTTGCTTCTCAGATTATAGCTTAACTCTCCTCCTCAGTGCTCCTGTTCTATAAAGGACTGGGAGAGACCAGAGACCAGACCTCACCACTTCCAATCTTCCAACCTTTATTATGATTAACTGCCTCCTTTATTGTCCTCTACCTAACTCAGACCAGATGATACCCAAGACCCCATGACAGTTACATCTTGAGTGTGCAATGTTATAATAAATATACCTTTCCTGAAAAAACAAACAAACAAAAAACAAGATCATCTCACCTAATCAGATCATTTGTAACTATGCATTAAGCCTCACATAGAAGATGACGTTGAAATTCTTTTAAACTTCTCTAAGCCTTGTTTATATAAACAATTCCAAACTTCTGCACTTTGGAACACTGCCATTGTTTGGAATCTGTGTTTCCTGGGTTGGCTGTCCTCAACTTTGCACTTGGATAAACTCTCTTTAAAATAAATCTTACCACTTTTGATTATTTGAGGTTGATAAGGTCTCAGAACAGTGCTTGGTGCATAGTAAGAACTAAATAAATATATGTGATGAACAGTAATAATAGGAGTATCCATTCCTCCACTACCTCCTAGGCTGCTCTGTGCCAAGTCTTTTCCATTAAAATGTACTAAGCACTTACTGTGTACCTTGCATTGCCTATAAGTCATAGAGATGAACAAAATATGTTTTCTGTTTTCAAGGATTCATTAGGGGTAAAAAGGAATATAAATGAAATGAAATCAATATCAGGCAGATGCGTAATATGCTTTAAAGAGGTTGAGACAAAATGCTGAGGCAGCACAGAGGAGGGGAAGAACAGACCAAGCAAGGCTAAGGATGTGGCATTTGAGCAGGAAGATGTTTAGAATTAGGCAGGCTGTGATGAGTTGGGGACCGAGATGGAAATGGGAAGAGAAAAGTCACTTCAATGCTTCCAATTTAAAATGAGAAAATTGG
This sequence comes from Homo sapiens, assembly GCF_000001405.40. NCBI lineage: Eukaryota > Metazoa > Chordata > Mammalia > Primates > Hominidae > Homo > Homo sapiens. The sequence continues at coordinate 21,467,283 of NC_000002.12, forward strand.
TCCATATAATTTTCAGTTGCATAAGAGCTCTAAAATTCAATTCTATGAAATCATGCTTTCATTCCTTGATGAATATATGAGAATTCTGTAAATGAGTTATTGCATCCAAAAATTTTGGCTGCTGGGCATGAAGTTTACCCAGTATTCACAGCAAAACAGATTACTAGTGGAAACTTGAATTAAAAAAATGCTGACACACTAGAAAATATAATTTGTACCCAATGGCTTGAAAAAAAAATTACCCAGTAATTCTGCAGTTACTAAATGGGGCCTAATGGCACTTCCGTTTTTCATGTTGGCATTTCAAGGTTGTTCTGACAAAGCTCACCTGGGAAGAAGGGCTTTTAGTAAAATGGCAAGACACTGCTTCCTCTGATGTCTCAATTGAAACTAGTGCTTTCAAATCATTTAGATGCCATAAATGGCAGTGCCCTTATAAGTGAAGGTAGTGGTTTGCCAATTTCATTGTCTACAAGTAATACCTGGGGAGTCTGAAAAACAAATGCAAATTCTAGGAGCACTGCTGGGAGCAAAGATTCTGATTCAGTTCTGTTGGAGAACCCAAGAATCTGCATTTCAGCAAGAATAATTGACGACTCTGATGCAAGGGTTCTCCAAGGGGCACTTCATGAAACACTGTTTGTGTTTCATTTCCACCATGGCTGGAGTTGCCCCAAAAATGGTGACAGGGAAATTCCCAAAAGAGACTGCCCCAAACTGTCCCAAGATAGGGTCAGTTGGGGTTCTAAAGAAAGAATTTCTAAATGCCAGAGTGATGAGTCAAAGTCATTGGTTAAGGGGATTTACATACAGTTTGCTGCAGCTGTCCTCCCAACAGACAGGAGGAAAAGAGCTATTCTACCCAGGTATGTCCACAATGAAGGGGTCAGGTCACGGAGTTTATATAAAGGTTTAAGGAATTTGGCTCAGTGTGCATGTTTAGCAATATGTCTGATTTTTCTGTATTTCAGGTAACAACCTAAACAAGTTTATCAACGCCTAGGAATGTTCAGGGCCCTGGCTTGGGTTCAAGCCTGCAGGAGAAAACATGTAGCTAGCCAGGCCACAGAATGGTCAGGGTACTCTGTTTTTTTCTATCAGGACAAAGAAAGAAAGTAGGGTTAGGGGGGCCTAAGGGAACCTATGTACTGAGTTAAGAATAAGGTGGAGTGGCTTGTCCAAGTGTCCAGCGTTACACAGAGTGGCCATTAAACCAACATGTGTGCTCAGAACATCATTTCTCAGTTCAAAGATAAACTTGAGAACAAAATCTTTTCAATAAGGTGAACCTTGAAGAAAAATAAATTTTAAGCTACTTAATCACAGACTTAGTGTGCCTTGCTCTCAGTAATAATAATAATAATGAAATAGAAGTCTAGAAGAAAAATCCCCATCTAAATCCAGTTTCAAGCTTCTCATAGGGCATTAGGACAGTGTGTGTAATGTAAAAATCTTACTAGACAAGAAGGCACACCGGATGCTGGATGCTGTGTTATAGATGGACGATTTGCTAGAGGGGAAGGCATTGGCAACAGTGTGAGCCCTGTCTCTGAAGCAAGTGCTAAGCCTAGAGCCAATCAGCTACTCTAGAGAAAAAGGGCGTGACTGTTGCTTCAGAGGCATTCCTTTTAATGATAACTCAATTAGTTTTAATGGCAGTGCCTAAAAGTGCCTTATAAAACTGTTCAAGGTGCCTTCTAAAACCTACAGTTTAACACGAAATTGAAAATGGTGAGAAGTTTCAAAGCATTGTGCAGTGTCATATTGGAGTCTGGAAAGAGGTAAGTTTGTATCTTTCTAGGAGTTTTAACTGCAGGTCTATAGGAGAACGTGTGTCTGTTTCTTTGTCTAGGCTGGAGCTTTAAGAAAGAATAGCCAAGGTTAAGGGGTCAGATTAAGGGCAAGGAGAGCAGGCAAGGGAGGGAATGACCAGCAAGAGGCAGAGAGAAGTCTGGGAGGCATCATTACCCCACTTCCCCCAAAGGAAAAGGAGAAAACCTCTAAGAACTGGCTGCTCTTGTGGGAAAATGCAGTCTGTGCAATTGCTCAGGTTTTTTTTTTTTTTTTTTTTTTTTTTGCCATCACTGAGCTATTCAGCACTATCCAGGAGCAGAGAAGTTTCAACATGCTGTTGACAGCTAAGCTATCCTTGTTTCAAAAAAACTCCCTGTCCAAAATGTCTACATAAGAGACATCGTTTATGAGAGATAAAAATGCCTAGATTGATATTTGGAGATCCCCAACTCATGGTTGTTCGAAATAATGACTTTAACACAAAAATAGAAGATGAAAAGATTATTTTCCATGGCGAACTCACTTTCATGAAAGTGTTTATGTTACGTATTTGAGGGAGATAAAGGATTTAAACTGTCAGGTTTTCTGGGCAGAATGCAAGCAAGTGGTGCTTGAACTGGGCCACTGAAACTGGATGGTTTTGTGGTGTTAACTCCTCTAGCCCTCCACCTCCTTAGGCTCTGTTTCACCTGGCAGCATGCTGAGCATAGAGCAATGCTCAGCGGATGCACTGCTTGATGGAGTGAGCTCCACTTGAGGATGGGGACTGCCTGCTCTTTCCTCCAGCCCCATGGGAGGCCTTGAAGACAAAACTATAGGGGAAGTGGCAGGGCAGACCAATCTCTAGTCCCAAGACGACTTTCCTTTGCATATTTTGTTGTTCTCTTGTCCACCTATGTCACCTTTGACTTTCCAAGTGTTTCCCATTGTTCAAGATCAGCTTAAAGCATTTTTAGACATCTTTTATCATGGTCTTTCATTGTCTGAAATGCTACAGCCCCTGGAGCTGGCATCCCACAATTAACAATTATATTGTCGATGGTTATATGTGATTCTGTGGTGGCTCCAGATGTGAAATCCTGTTTCCTTAATGACACTATAACTGTCTCCAGCAAATCAGCATCTGCTCTGCTGGGCTTAGTCAGGGCTAGACACATGGCTCTCGATAATTTGCTTTTTGGTTCATATCACTCATTCAGAGACTGAGGTTTGTCAGCCAAATCAATCATTACAAGGAGAGGCAGCACGTTACAGTAAAAAATACCATTGGATAAATGAATGGGGTTATGGGGTCTTGTGCTCCTACTATTTAACTAGATGAAAACCTTTGGATAGATCACCAGGGTGTATGTCCATCAGTTTTCTCTTCTTTAAAAATAGAATATGGCTTGTTCTGCACGCCTGTTTTGAAAATAAAAAAACAGAAGTGACAGAGACTTCTAGGGAAGCAAATCATTATACCAATGGGAAATATTGTTACATATTTGCAACATAGAGAAAGGGCAGCTGAGCTGGTCTGACCACTCTCTACCCAGATTGGAAACAGGAAACAAGATTTCATCTCTGGAGCCAGCAAAGAATGGTATATCTGTAGACAATATAATAGTTAACTGTGGGGTGCCAGCTACAGGGGCTGTAGGATTTTCAGACAATGAAAGACAGTGATAAAAGATGTCTGAAGATTTTGAAAAGGAGGTTGGGGAGAACCGAGAAAGAACACCTTCATGACAGAGTCTGCTGTCCTCTGAAACCCAGGGCTTCCTTTGTTGGTTGATATCTCTCCCGTTAGCTGATGGACACTTCCCTCTGGGAAATGAGTCTCCTGTTGAGACTCAGTAGGAATCTCAGTAGGAATGAGACACAGTAGGAATGTGTCTCTGGCCAGGCATGGTGGCTCAAGCCTGTAATCCTAGCACTTTGGGAGGCTGAGATGGGCGGATCATGAGGTCAAGAGATCAGGACCATCGTGGCCAACCTAGTGAAACCCTGTCTCTACTAAAAATACAAAAATTAGCTAGGCGTGGTTGTGCACACCTGTGGTCCTATCTACTTCGGAGACTGAGGCAGGAGAATCGCTTGAACCTGGGAGGTGGAGGTTGCAGTGAGCCGAAATTGCACCACTGCACTCCAGCCTGGCAACAGAGTGAGACTCTGTCTCAAAAAAAAAAAAAGTATCTAGCATATAAAGGTACGTAATTTCACTTATGCCACCTGCTTTCTTCAAGCCTCTTCTGTTTCCAGATGCCATAGTTTAAGACCATTGGAATGTTTAAAACAAAGCCAGAAAAGTCCCAGAGTCTCCTGCTGCAGAATAGAAATGGCACAGAGACCTGCTGCTGTGCTGGAGAGCTAGTTCTGCAGGAAGTAGATGGAAGAAATGTGTTCACTATGGGTTCCAACTGTCTAGAGAACAAAGGCTTGGATTTGGCTTAAGTGTTGAGATTTCCATTTTTGAAAAGGTCCTGTCATGAAGGCAGCCAACAGTGTAGTGGACACAAGTGGATTACCATGTTTTGGCCTAAGGATCTCACACAAGGAAATTCAGGGCCTGGGGCCACAATGAGGGTGTGAGGGGTATTGAGTGGCCTTAGGAATCTCTTAGATCTCTGTCCGTAAGGAAACCTAAGATGCTTTTGGAACTTCATAACCCACAGAATATGACATTGAAAGGTAACCAAGAATAAAAATGAGAGAGAAACTGGCTGAATATTCAAGAGTAATGAAATTCAGCAGTACCTGTTCACATATGGTAACTTGGGGACATTTACAGACTGCATGTTTGAAGTGGAAACTTTTTCCCAGAACAAGTGTATGGGAGAAATCTCAATCTGGCAGAAATGATATTGACTCTTTGGGATACATCCTAGTGGTCTTTGACTGAAGACATTTTGCTTTTCTATGATATGGGGCTAAAAGTTGCTTGCTAATTTCAATTACAGGCACATCCTGCAATGAACCAAGTGACAAATGTGGAAAGCTTTAACCTGTTTGCAAGGGATTGCTAGTTAAATCCAAACACAAATCATGTTCCTTATGGCTGACACTTCAAATACAGAGTCCTTCTGATGGTGCTTCTTAAAATAACAATTCAAGTGCTCAGTTTGTTCAAGAGCTGGTGCCTTACTTAGTACCATGTGATGCTTAAAATTTAGGCACTCTTATGACAATGAAAGGGCTACTAAAAAGGAAATAAACTTCTTCTAGAAGAAAATAGCAAATTCATGTGGCAGATACAATTAGTATATTCCTGTTACAGATGAAGAAACTAAAGCACAGAGAATAAAAGTATTTTGCAAAATTGTCCTGTGATGGCAAATTCTGTTAGAAGTATTTCCTTTACCACTCTTGATAAAGTTGCTGTTTATTGAATCAATGAAGAAATCTTGGGATTATCCCAGACAACTCCACCTCTCCTAGTAACTATATTCCACTAGTCATCAAGTCATATCAATTCATAGCTCAGAAAACCTTATCAGAATCTGCATGTAAATTATTATAAATAGTGAAAGAATTTAGCAGTATGGCTAGATAAATTTGCAAAGCCCCTGTATTTCCATATCCTTGACAATTAAAGGATAAAAAACACAACTTTCAAATATTACTTCTAATAATACTTTAAATAATACTTCTAATAACTAATACTCACATTAATTGAACATACTTATTATGTGCTAAGTACTCTGCATATATTATTTCATTTTATTAACACTACCAGTGTGTTAGTATGTTAACAGGGAAGAAAATTTGAAGGAACATATACCAAAATCTTATGGTGGCAGTCTCCTCATGGAGGAGGGATGGTATGATACAGATGAACTTCCTTTGTTCCATACTGTATTAATTAATTACAATAAGCATTCATTGTCTTTGGCATTAATAAAATGAAATTATGAAAAATTATAATTTTTCTAAAGATACTATTTAAAATGGCAACAAAAACTTAAAATACATAGAAATAAATATAAAAAGAGATATGGAAAACCTTTACCTAGGAAATTTTAATCCTCATTAAACAGTCTTTAAAAAGACCTAAATAAATGGAGAAACATGTAATGATCATGGATACATTTTAATATTTGAAAGATTTCAATTCTCCCAAAATTTACCTATAGATTCAATGCAATTTCAATCAAAATTCCAAAAGGAATTTTAATGCTATGTTATGAGGTTAATCTAAAATTAATATGACAGAACAAAAAGTCAAGAATAGGCAACCCACTCCTGAGAAAGAATAATCTGGGATGTTTGCTCTTGATATTAATATTAAGATATTATAAGTCTGTAGCAGTGGTGCACAATAGAAATGTAATACAAGCTACACATGTAATTTAAAATTATCTAGCAGCCACATTAAAAGCAAAAAGATGATATGAATCAAATGGATAATATGTATTTTAATAACACATTTAACCCAATATATTGAAAATATTATTTCAATATGTAATCAATACAAAAATAATTAAAAACATTTTATATACTTTTTTCATAAGTCTTTAAAAAACAGTATATATTTTACATTTACAGAATTTATCTCATTTTAGACTATCCACATTTCAAGCACTCAATAGTCAACAGAGCTAGGATCATAATAACACAAATTTATAGTATTTAAGCAAGTATGGTGTTAGGTCAAGGATTGACTTATTGGCCAAATAACCTCAAGAGAGAGCCCTAAACCCCTAAAGACATATGGAAGCTCAATGTTTGGAAGAGTAGGCATAGCAACTTACTATAGTATGTGTAGTAGGTGGTGATGGGGTAGTTGATCATACATTTGGAAGAAAATAAAATTGGATTTCTGTCTCATGTCTTGCACAAAATTTAGTTTCAGCTGAAATAAAGACTTAAAAATGAAATGCAAGCCTTTAAACATTTGGGAAAAAATACAGAAAAACATAGATTAAATATCATTATAACCTTTGAGTAGGGCCAGATTTCTTAAAACATAAAAGCATTAACTAGAGTGGACAATATTTTAATAAATGACTATACTAAATTTAAGAACTGCTGTTTGTTAAATTATACCATGAAGTAAATAAAAATACAAGCCACATACTGGGAAGATTTATTTGCAGCACTTATTTAAAAAGCATTATGGTTCAGAATACCTAAATAACTCCTAAAAAATCAGGAATAAAAATATGTAAAACCCAATAGAAAAATAAGTATTTCAGAGAACATGAAACACTAAAGGAAAATAAAAATGTATAAATATTCTCAACTTCATTAGTGATCAGGGAAACACAATTTAGGAATAGAAAATATCTCTTTTTTAATTTCTGTATTTTTAAAATTTTACTTTAAGTTCTGGGATACATGTGCTGAACGTGCAGGTTTGTTACATAGGTATACATGTGCCACAGTGGTTTGCTGCAGCTATCAACCTGTCATCTAGGTTTTAAGCCCCGCATGCATTCGGTATTTGTCCTAATGCTCTCCTTCTCCTTGCCCCCCACCCCCCAACAGGCCCCAGTATGTGATGTTCCCCTCCCTGTGCCCATGTGTTCTCACTGTTTAACTCCCACTTATAAGTGAGAATATGCGGTGTTTGGTTTTCTATTCCTGTGTTAGTTTGCTGAGGATGATGTTTTCTAGCTTCATCCATGTCCCTGCAAAGGACATGAACTCATTATTTTTTTATGGCTACATGGTATTCCATGGTGTGTATGTGCCACATTTTCTTTATCCAATCTATCATTGATGGGCATTTGGATTGGTTCCAAGTCTTTGCTATTGTAAATAGCTCTGCAGTAAACATATATGTGTGTGTGTCTTTATAGTATAATGATTTAAAATCCTTTGGGTATATACCCAGTAATGGGATTGCTGGGTCAAATGATATTTCTGGTTCTAGATCCTTGAGGAATCGCTGCACTGTCTTCCACAATGGTTGAACTAACTTACTGTCCCACCAATAGTGTAAAACCGTTCCTATTTCTCCACATCCTCACCAGCATCTGCTGTTTCCAGACTTTTTAATGATCACCATTCTAACTGGCATGAGAGAGTATCTCATTGTGGTTTTGATTTGCATTTCTCTAATGACCAGTGATGATGAGTGTTTTTTTTTTATTATGTTTGTTGGCCGCATAAATGTCTTCTTTTGAGAATATCCTTCCCCCACTTTTTGATAGGGTTGTTTTTTTTTCTTGTAAACTTGGTTTGGTTCCTTGTAGATTCTGGATATTAGACCTTGTCATCTGAATAGATTGCAAAATTTTCTCTCATTCAGTATGTTGCCTGTTCTCTCGGATGATAGTTTCTTTTGCTGAGCATAAGCTCTTTAGTTTAATCAGATCCCATTTGTCAATTTTGGCGTTTGTTGCTATTGCTTTTGGTGTTTTATCATGAAGTCTTTGCCCATGCCTGTGTCCTGAATGGTATTGCCTAGGTTTTACTCTAGGATTTTTATGGTTTTAGGTTTTATGTTTAAGTCTTTACTCCATCTTGAGTTAATTTTTGTATAAGGTGTACACCTTATTGAAAATATCATTTTAAATCCAATAGATTGTCAAACTTAAGAACTGTTATTCTATGTGTGGAGCAATGAGCAGTCTTCTATACTTTTAGAGTGTGAAGTGCTACAGCCACCTTGGAAAACAATTTGGTGGTATTTTTTAAGTAACCAATACTTAATGTATACTGATGACCTTGTGATTGTATCCTTGATGTATATTGGTTAGTTTGGAAGGCTATATGTAGAACTTTCGTAGCTGTGTTGTTTATAATCGTATGCAAGACTAATGCTATTGATAGGAAAATGAATGAATAAGGTATGTTTACATAATGGTCATTCTATTTTTAGTAGAGATGGGGTTTCACCATGTTGTCCAAGCTAGTCTCAAACTCCTGGCCTCAAGTGATCCACCAACCTTGGCTTCACAAAGTGCTGGGATTAGAGGTGTGAGCCACTGCTCCCAGCCCTAACAAATTTCTTAAGACTAATACAGAGTGCCACTATTTTTATAATACCTTTATTGATATATAATTCACATACTGTAAAATTTACCCTTTAAAAGTATACAATTCAGGCTGGGTGTGGTGGCTCACACCTGTAATCCCAGCACTTTGGAAGGCCGAGGTGGGCAGATTACTTGAGGTCAGGAGTTCTAGACCAGCCTGGACAACATGAGGAAAACCTCGTCTCTACTAAAAATACAAAAATTAGCTGGGTGTGGTGGTGTGTGCCTGTAATCCCAGCTACCCAGGAGGCTGAGGCAGGAGAATCGCTTCAACCCGGGAGGTGGAGGTTGCAGTGAGTGGAGATTGCACCAGTGCACTCCAGCCTGGGTGACAGAGTGAGACTATGCTTCAAAAAAAAAAAAAAAAAAAAAAAAAAAGTGTAAAATTCAGTGGTTTTTTAGTTGCAAATTTTATCATCCCTCTTCTGTCCTGCTGAACCTGTGCCCAGAGTTACTCTAAAATGGCAGTGGGGGTGTTCCTGCAAGGGATGTCCCTAAATGACCAAACTGTCTTTAGACGAGGCTGATTGGGATTCCAAAGAAAGAAGCACTAAATGCTAAGATGAATAACACAAAGCATTTATTATGGGAACTTAACATACAGAGGGCTGTAGAGTCCTTGCAACAGATAGCAAGAAAAGAGATGCTCTAAACTGGTATATCAGTAATGAGAGTTTATATGGAGTTTATATCAGGTTATGGAGTTTGTATCAGGGATGTCCAATCTTTTGGCTTCCCTGGGCCATATTGGAAGAAGAAACATTGTCTTGGGCCACACATAAAATAAACTAACACTAACGATAGCTGATAAGCTTAAAAAAATTGCAAAAAAAATCAATGTTTTAAGAAAGTTTACAAATTTGTGTTGCCACATTCAAGGCAGTCCTGGGCCGCCTGTGGGCCATGGGCCATGAGTTGGACAAACTTGGTTTATATGGAAGTTTAAGGAATGTAGCTCAGGGCTGGGGCTAGTTTCTATGTGTTTAGCAACATGATTGATCTTTTAATGTTTTGGGAAAGAATCTAAACACCTTTATCAGTGCCTAGGAATGTTCCAGGCCCTGGCTTGGGTTCAAGCCTGCAGGGGAAAACATGCAGCTGTCTGAAAGATAAATGGGAGGTGGGGGAACTGGGGGACACCACAGTCCCCAAAAGATATCTTATTATCAGTCACTATTCTTTTTCTCTCTCCCCATCTTTTAACAATCACTAATCTACTTTAGTTTCCATCTCTATGGATTTGCCAATTTTGTACATTTCTTTAAAGGAATTATACAATATGTGACCTTTTGAGTCTTACCTTTTTCACTTAGTATAATATTTTCAAGATTTATATATATGAGGCTGGGCACAGTGGCTCATTCCTGTAATTCCCAGCATTTGGGAGGCCAAGGCAGGAGGACCACTTGAGCCCAGGAGTTTAAGACCTGACTGGGCAACATAGGGAGACCTTGTGTTTACCTAAAAACTTCAAAAGAAGTAGCTGAGTGTGGTGCCATGTACCTGTATCCCTGCCACTTGGGGGCATGAGGCAGCAGGATTGCTTGAGCCAGGAAGGTTGAAACTGAAGTGAGCCATGATCGTGCCACTGCACTCCAGCCTTGGCAATGGAGCAAGACCCTGTCTCAAAAAAATAAAAAAAATCATATATGTTATAACAGGTACCAATATCTCATTACTTTTTATTGCTGTCATATCCATTATATGGATATGACATATTCTGTTTATTCATTTATCAGGTAGAAATTTGGGTTATTTGTACTTTAGGAATATTAAGAATAATATTGTTATGAACTTTTGTGAAAAAGTTTGGTCTTGACATACATTTTTCAGTTCTCTTGGATATATGCCTATAAATGGAATTGCTGAGTCCTAAGGTGTATTAGTCTATTTTCTTGCTGCTGATAAAGACCTACCCAAGACTGGGCAATTTACAAAAGAAAGAGGTTTATTGGACTTACAGTTCCACATGGCTGGGGAGGTATCACAATCATGGTGGAAGGCAAGGAGGAGCAAGTCACTTCTTACATGGGTGACAGTAGGCAAAGAGAGGGCTTGTGTAGAGAAACTCCCATTTTTAAAACCATCGGATCTCGTGAGACCCATTCACTATCATGAGAACAGCACAGGAAGGAAAGACCCATGATTCAATTATCTCCCACTGGTTCCCTCCCACAACACATGAGAATTATGGGAGATACAAGATGAGATTTGGGTGGGGACACAGAGCGAAGCCATATCATAAGGTAATTGCATTTAACGTTTAAAAGAACTGCCAAATTATTTTCCAAAATGGCCAAATCATTTAAAAATCTCACCAGTAGTATGTGAAGGTTCCTTACTCCACATCCTTAGCAGCACTTGCTATTGTCTGCTTTATTATTTGAGCCACCCTACCATGTGTGAAATTTTCATTTGGTTATAATTTGTATTTCTTTAATGACTAATGATGTTAGGCACCTTTTCCTGTGCTTATTGACACAACTATTTTTTCTAATGTACAAATTGAGTCAAAAGTGAAATAATACATTCTTTATATATTTATGTATATTTACATATTTAGTATCTATATACAGTATAATCATAAAATAAATTATATATAAATATAAAATATATGTGCATGTGTAAAATTGATAGGATAGTAGTTATCTGTGGAGGAAGTAGGTGAATGAGACCAGAAACGAACATGCAAGTAGCTTCAGTCATATTAATTAGGTTGTAATTCTTAGGATAGATTGGAGTTTTACTAGTATTCATTTTATTGTGCTTCATAACTTCATAACAAATCCTATCCTTATCAACTTGTTAAAAATATTTTCATGCACCTACAATGTGTCAGTTACCATTCTTGTGCATAGAAGTGGATATAACACCAAATGTGCTTGCATAACCACCATTTGTTTTAATTAAAAAATAAATTAAACAAACACAAGAAAAACTTTATCTTTTACCTCTCCTCTAACTCCAAAGGACTGGAAAATAGCAACCACTTTCAGTCTCCCTGCTTCTAAAACTTTCTCCTTCCAGTCCGTTCTCAAAACTGCGTCAACCTAAATAATAAACAAAGAGAGGCTCTCTAAAAGAAAATGATATTTATTCAGTAATGGACATTGCAATGGGAATACACATACCATAGTAAACTATGCAAGTGTTCAGGGAGGCAAAAAGAAGAAAAAAAGTTTTTAAAGCAAAACGGAGTAGGATTACATAATTGTTTTCAGATAATTATCTTTGGCTACATGGATCAATAACAAGGGAGGAACTAGTCCGAGGTTGGAGAGGCAGTTGCTGGGCAGAAGTCCTCCCAGAAATATTTTTTTGTGTAAGGTTACAATTAACTTTGTGCAAAACTTGTGATTTCTGCAGAGTGTTTCGTGATTTTGTTAACAAGCATTTTTGCATGAGAACCCTCTCTTTATGGTCTTCCCGGGTTTCTATTTGTCAGGTTTTTTTTTTTTTTTTGGTGGTTTTGTTTGGTTTTGTTGTTGTTTAACAAAAGTGGCTCCATTTTGACTCTGAAACTTTCAGAGCTGCCACCAGGATGATCCTTGGGAACCACAGTTTTTTTAAATCTTTTAACAACACCTTTTAAAATCTTTTAACAACACCTCACTACTATCATAAAAGAGTATAAAATAATAAAATGAAAAGCTATTTTATGTTTTTTGACTTGATTTAACCTATATCCAGCCTCAGAACTTATTGCTTAGATCAAACTGAACCAAAAACCCTTCAACAAGCTCAACACACCTTGTCATGCCCCTGGTCTCTGTAGTGCTGTATCCACCATATGGAACACCTCACCCATCCATCCTCTTCATTTTTTCTTACTGAAGAACTCCTACTAATCCCTCAAAATCAGCAATTTATGGTGCCTGGAATATTCTAGGTATTTACTATTTATTGTTAGAAGGATGAATGAATAATAAATAAAAAGGTTCCTTGGCTGTTTAAATAGAAAATTGAAAATTTCCGTATAATGGCATTTTTTAATCCTATTGCACTTGCTCTTTACCTTGTTTTTCTCCACTGGACTGTAAGTTTCTGAAGCTCAGAAGTCATATCTACATTATCTTTTTATTGACAGCACATTGCAGAGTGCCTGATGAGTAGATGTGTGCTGTGTATTGGATTAATATGTTCCCACTGCCACTGTCCTATCTCAAAGCCTACAACATCTCTTGCCTAGACTTCTTTCTAACCAACTCTGCCTCCAATATTACTCTCCTCAGTCCCTACTGGTGAAGCAAAATAATCAATTTTTCCTTACAATACTGCAAGCATTTTGAAAGAAGGAACATAATGATGTTCAGCTTTGTATCACATGAATCACCTAATACAGTGCCCTGCTGTAATGTGTTCAATAAATGTTTTTGGAATGGAGTAATTAATCATTCCACTGTCTTTTTCAATAATTCCCTCCGTGGCTTATAACAACGATTTATGTTATTGCTATAGGTCTTCAGGTTGACTGTGAGTCATCTGCTCTTTACTGGACTTGGCTTGGTGATTCTTTTTTCAGGCAGTGGGTGAGCTGGCCTTGGCTCCAGGTTTGCTCCATGTATGTGTAATCTGGGATCTAGGCTGAATGGTCAGCGGCTACCTAGGGCATGTCCTTCACATAGCATATCACAGAGTCCAAGGAGAGTAAGTGCAACTATGCTAGCTCATTTCAAGCTTCTACTTGTATCTTACCTGCTAATATCCCATTGGCCTAAGCAAGTCATTTGGAAAAACTTAAAGTCAATGACAGCTGCCCTTGAGACCATCACAAATGTGTGGATGCATAGTTCTATCACTGTGAAGTAGAGAATTTGGACCAACAACTTAATCTATCCCACCATGGTAAGATTTTTCTTTTATTCTGAGTAAGATGAGAGTGAGATGAGAACCATGGAAAGAACTAAGTAGAAAGGCAACAGCATCTTACTTCTTTACCCTCAAAAGAGTCATTCTTGCATTAAGTCTATACTCATATTCTTGCTTCTGTTGAAAGATGCTTTTTTCTTCCTCTATGCCTTATGGAAACAAGACTAAATGAAAAAAAAAGGAATATGATAGAGAGCCTAGAGACAGATATGTGCATATATGAACTCTTGTTTATAGCAGGAGTGGTGATGCAGAGCAGTGGAGGAAAAGATGTTCTATTTAAGTAATTGAGCTGGTATATTTGGATATCCATATGGCAGAAATAAAAATTGACCCATATTTCACACCATATGAAAGTAATCAATTCTGGGAGAAATGTACACCTAAATATGAAAAGCCACACCAAAAGCTCTTCAGAGTTAATATTGGTGAATACTTTCCTAAATAAGTTAGAAAAGATTTCTTAAGCAGGATATAAAAATTATTGGCCATAAATGTGACTATATTAAATTTGAAAGGCTGTTTATCAAAAGGCACGATTAAAAGAGTGAAATGTAAGCCATAGAGTGAAGGAAAAATTTTATAGTAAAATATAACCAAGAGCAAGCAGACCCTCAAAAAAGTTAAACATAGGATTACCATATGACATAAGCAATTCCTCCCCAAGTATATCCCGGAAAACTGAAAGCAAGTACTCAAACAAGTACATGTACATGTGTGTTCACAGAAGTGCTATTCACAAAAGCCAAATGGTAAAAACAACCCAAATGTCTATCCAAAGATGAATGAATAAACACATTTTATAACCATACAGTGAAATATTATTGATTCATAAAAAGAATGATGCACTGGCACATGCTAAATGTAGATGAATCTCCGAAAAGTTATTCTAAGTGAAAGAAGCCAGATACAGGATGTCACATATTGTATGATTTCATTTATGTAAATCATCCAGAGTAGATAAATCCATAGGGACAGAATACAGATTGGTGGTTGCTAGGGGCTGTGGGAGGGATAGATGGGGAAAACTGCTTGATGGATAATGAATTTTACTTTGGAGTGACAGAAATGCTTTGGAATTAGTGGTAGTGATTGCACCTCTTGGTGAATGTATTAAATGCTACTGAGCTGTTCACTTTAAAATGGTTAATTTTATGTTGGAATTTTACCTCCATAAACTACATACATAATATATATGTGTATATACATTGATATGGGTGTAAATATAGTACTTATACATATGACAAACAGTTTATAGCTAGGATATATAAACACGTGTTCCAAATCAGTGAGAAGACAATCAGCACAATAGAAAAAATGAGCAAAGGATTTGAGAGGCACTTAACAAAAAATAAAATTCGAATGGCTAATAACCATATGATAAGTTTCTCAACCTTATTTTTAGTCAATAAAATAAACTAAAAATACAGTAAGATAGATCTGTTGAGTTGGTTTAAAAATACAAATAAAAACAAAACTAACAAAACCAACTATTGGTGAGGGTATCGCACAAAACGACCCTCACATCCCATTGGGAGCATAATTTGAGTCAACCAATTTAGAATATGGATTGGCAATAACCGCTAAATTTCAACAAAGGCATATCCTATGCCATAGAAATTCTCGCTGGTAAAAACTTGAGAAATATGTGCATAATGTCCCTGAGCCATTTGTAAGAACATTTATAGTATTAGTTTTAAAATAACTCAAATGCCCATCAGTGGTAAGTGGTAGAATGGATAGATAATTTGTAATATACCTGTATAATGAAATATTATGTTGCAATACAATGAACATGGTGATAGCCACATGCAATAGCATAAATTGATATTCTGGATATGACGTTGATAGAAAAAAGTCAGGTGCAATGAATAAATAAAGTATAATTTTATTTATAGACATTTAAAAAGTAACAAAATGGAATATGTTAGCCTGATTTTATCATTTCACAATGAATACATATATCCAAACATCATATTGTACTCCATAAGTATATACAATTATTATTTATCCATTTAAAACTAAGATAAAGCTTAAAAAGAAAAGCAATAAAATTAAACCATAGTTACTATGCATGCATACCACTTAGTGAAATAATAAGGAAAAGCAGAGAAGTGATTAACATAAACGTCAAGATAGTGATGTTTTAGGGGAAAAAGAGTTTATTATTAAAAGGAGCATATGGAAGTTTTCTGAGTTGTGGGCTATTACCTGTTTTGAAGTTTTTGGTAATTTATAATAATTCATTCGGTTGTACTTATATTTTATACATTTTTGTCCATCGTAGTTCATAATAAACTGGTTTAGAAAATTCCCTTATGCCAAATTACCTTCCTTCTCAAGTGTCCTTACCTCCCCTAACATACACATCCAATTATTCCTCCATTCTCCATGTGAGCAGCTGAGAATACCCTCTGTGGTGGGCAGAATTCCACAATGACCCCCAATAACCCTTTTCCTTGTATAATTCCCTCCTTATAAAATGTGGGCAGAACTTGTGCTGTCGATAGTATATCAATCCTATTATTATTTTCTATTAAATGACAAAATGTAATTAAGGTTACTAATCAGTTTGCTTTCAGGTAATTAAAAGGGGATTATTCAAGTAGGCCTAACCTAATTCTGTGAATCCTTTAAAACAGGGGTGTCCGACCCCCGCCCTGCAGATTGGTCCATGGCCTGTTAGGAACCGGGCCATGCAGCAGAAGGTGAGCTGCTGGCAAGAGAACATTACTGCCTGAGCCCCGCCTCCTGTCAGGTCAGCAGCGACATTAGATTCTCATAGGAGCGTGATCCCTATTGTGAACTGCGCAAGTGAGAAATCTAGGTTGCATGCGTGCTACTTATGAGACTCTAATGCCTGATGATCTGAGATGAAACAGTTTCATCCCAAAACTATCCCTCCCTCCACCCTCCCATCTGTGGAAAAATTGGTTTCCATGAAACCAGTCCCTCGTGCCAAAAAGGTTGAGGACCACCGCTTTAGAAGTGCATCTAGAGCCCAGAGGCAGAAGTAAGTGAAAGAGATTCAAAGCATGCAGAGGATTCTCTGCAGTCGATATTCTCCATTGCTGGTTTTGGAAAGGAGGTGCCACAAGGCAGGGAACGGTGGGCAGCCTCTAGGCACAGAGAGAAAGCTCAGTCCAAAGGCCTCAGTCTTGCAACTGTAACGAACTGAGTCCTTCCAACACCTGGAATGTACATTCTTGAAAGTGAATTCATCCCCAGAGCTTCTAGATAAGAACACAGCCCAGTCAATGCCTTAAGTGTGATACCCTGAGCAGAGACTCTTAACTGTGAGATAAATAAGTCAGCATTGTTTCAAGCCACTACATTTGTAATAACTTGTTACACAAAAATAGAACCTTGCTCCTACTATACTAACTTTTTTGGGTCTTATGCTTCTCTTTCTTCCTTCTTTCCAGATCAAGCTAATCTTTTAAAAAAAATATTATTTGAGGCTGGGCACAGTAGCTCACACCTCTAATCCCAACACTGGGAGGTCCAGGTGGGAGGATCACTAGAGGCCAGGAGTTCGAAACCAGCCTGAGCAGCATAGGAAAACCTCACCTCTACAAAAAAAAAACAATAAAAAAAGAAAGTACTTGAGCATGATGGCAAGTGCCTGTAGTTCCAGTTACTTGGGAGGTTGAGGTGGGAGGATTGCTTGAGCCTAGGAGGTTGAGGCTGCAGTGAGCCATGATCATACCACTGGACTTCAGCCTGGGTGACAGAATCCTGTCTAAATATATATATATACACATATATATATGTATATATACACGTATATATGTGTATATATACATGTATATACATATATACATATGTATAGACCTGAGAACACCAGTCAGCCTGTGCTTTGGGTGCAGCAGGAATGAGCCTGGAGGGAGGCTGCTCTTGGAGTCCCTGCACCAACGCTGCTCCGGGCTGTGGCCACACTCCGGGCTGTAGGTCCTGCTTAGGGAAGAGCTCTGTACTGCCTGCATGGTGCGCACGGCCGCCTTCATGAGTGCTGGCTTGCCCTGTGCCCCTTCTGGCCTTATCATAGTTTGTGGTAGTATGGCAGACAGCATTTCCTTCATCCCATGAAAGGGATCTGTCGTGTATTTTGAGGAGATGTCACCCTTTTCTAAGTCCCAAAAACCCATTCTAGTTGACTCAGGCCCCCTTCTTCCCACTCAGACTCCCTATGGAAAAGTCGCCGTCTGCTGGGTGTCCCTGTGTTCTTTGGGTGACATGGGCCACCAGGGAATCCCTGGCCCGACCACTGGCTGAAAACAGGAACAAAGAAAAAATAAAAATAAAAATAAAATATGTATGTGTGTGTGTGTATTCTGATTGTGTTGGGGCACAGTTTTAATCTGAGGATTTACACTTTTCACCAATTCCAGAAATCTTCAGACATTATTATTTCAAATGTTGACTCTTCAACATTCTCCCTAATATTGTAGTAGTACATTTATTAAGTATGTGTTAGCTCTCTCTATCATCCATATTTGTTAAGCTTTGCTTTATATTTTCTATCGTTTTATTAGTATGTATTTCATTCTTAGTATTTCCTCAGCTTTAATTTCCAGCTCCCCAATTCAATCTCCAGCTGTGTCAACACATCAAATGTTTAATTTCTCTAAAAAAATTGTGTGTGTGTAACTTTCAAGGTTGCTAGTTCTCTTCCATAGTCTCCCATACAGTTTCTCTCGTATTTTCTCTTCTTTCATCTCCGTATTTGTTTTGAACATACTATCTTATAGAGTCTAATTTTTCTATTATCTTAAGTACTTTGGGATCAAATATTCTTGATTGTCAATATTTTCCTTATGGAGGATCATGTCCTCATGTGCTTTGTGGTTTATTTTTTTTTTAAATTTTAAGCTTATGTTTATAGTCATTGTTTTATTCTCAAGGTGTCTGGTCCCAGAAAGCCTGGTTATAGACATGTGGTTATGAAGTGTTTTATGTTTATTTGTGTGTGTGTGTTTTTTAATTTCCAGGTGGTCTGGGGGATTTATTGGTCTAGAACCAATTTTTGAATTCATTTATCATTTCGGAGATTTGAATTTCATATTGATAGAGCAAACCTAGGCTTTATAACTTTACCTATCATGGGTTCTATTACCTAACAAAAAGTTCATCTTTTAGCTTTCCATGCTAAATTTTGAAAAGTTAATTTTTAGTTTGGTTGTTTTTTCTTCCCTTTATATTTTCAGATACTGCTCCTGAGACACATTTTGGTTTTTCTGGTTCTAAGATAGTGGTGTTGATGCTTGTTGTGAAACTTTGGTTCTTACCTTCTTAGTTTAAAAGAATTTAAATAAGAGACACACAGCAAAGGAGATGCAACATAGAACAATTTGTTGCAAAGGAGAAAGAATATTCTGAAAGTTACATGCAGAATAGACAGTACACCCCTAGAGAGGATTCGGAGTAGGGTGCTTTCAAGGATGAGACAGCAAAGCTGGCACCAGGGAGACCTCTTTATGGGAGCCTTCCGTGGTTATTCTTAAGGGGGTGGGAAAGAGTGTTGCTGGTAAGCATGTTATGGGTGGTTCTTTGGCTGCACATGTGCAGTAGCTTTACATGCTTGTTCATACATCGCATGTCTTATTAGCTCTAAATCTCCACCCAGGGATGTGTTTTTTACTATTATAATGAACAAAGAGTCAGTCTGAGGACAAGTGAAATAAAAATGCACATGGTCTCTGCAGGGGAAATTCCCTACTGGAGAGAGTTTTGCTTGAATGAGCTTGACTACCATGCAAATGCTGGGGCTTATTGTACTTATGGTTAAGCTTGCTGCATCCCAAGGACATAGTTACTGTCTTGACTATCTATCCTGCCTCAGTGGGTGTACTACTTCGAATTTTACAATCACTGAAGTGTGTCAGTTCCAGTATCCTGCCTTATGTGTGCAAAATATCACATAAGCTCTCCTTATGCACACTATGAAACCCAACCTTGTAGCTCTTTAGTCCAATACACTATACAGTATTTTTGCAGGGCCACTGTGATTTTGACCTGCTACCTTACCATTCTTCTCTAAGTTTCTTCTTTTTAATAACTTGTGAGTTTTCCTTTTTTCTCTGAGCTCAAATGTAAATTACATTATAAAATATATTTAATTAAACCTGCATTTTTCAATATGTGAAAGCAAAATTGCTTCTTTGTTAGCCGAGTTTACCATCTTCCCAGAATTTTATGTTCTATAAGGTTAAATGACATTTAAAAATGAATATTTTATTTTAAAAAATATTTGAAATGAGTTATTTCCAGTTTCTATCTAAATAACAAACATATCTTGGCGATATTGTGAGTTTTGTTCCAGAGCACCACCATAAAGTGAATATCACAATAAAGTGAGTGACAAAAATCTTTTGGTTTCCTAATACAGATAATAGTTATGTATATACGATCCTGTAGTTTATTGGTATGCAATAGCATTCTGTCTACAAAAATGAAATACCTTAATTTAAAAACACTGTATTGCTAAAACTGCTAATGGTCACCAGAGCCTTCAGTAAGTCGTAATCTTTTTGCTGATGGAGGATCTTGCCTCAATGTTGATGGCTGCTGACAGATCAGAGTGGTGGTTGTTGAGGGTTGGAGTGGCTGTGGCAATTTCTTAAAATAAAACAACTATGAAGTTTGTTGCATCAGTTAACTCTTCCTTTCATGAAAGATTTCTATGTAGTATGCAGTGTTGTTTGACAGCATTTACCCACAGTGGAACTCCTTTCAAAATTATAGTCAATGTTCTCAAACCCTGCCACTGCCAACTAAGTTTATTTAATATTCTAAATCCTTTTTTTCATTTCAACAGTGTTGAAAGCATCTTCACCAAGAGTGGATTCCATTTCAAGAAACCACTTTCTTTGCTCATCCATAAGAAGTAACCCCTATCCTTTCAAGTTTTATTATGAGATTGCAGCAATTTAGTCACATCTTCATGCTCTACTTCTTTTTTAAAATTAATTTTTTGTTTTAAGTTCCAGGGTACATGTGCAGGATGTGCAGGTTTGTTACATAAGTAAACGTGTGCCATGGTGGTTTGCTGCACCTATTAACTCATCACCTAGGTATTAAGCCCAGCATGCATTAGCTAATTTTCCTAATGCTCTCCCTCCTCACAACCCACCCCCATGACAGGCCCCAGTATGTGTTCTTCCCTTCCCTGTGCCCATGTGTTCTCATTGTTCAGCTCCCACTTATAAGTGAGAACCTGTGGTTTTTGGCTTTCTGGTCCCGCATTAGTTTGCTGAAGATAATGGCTTCCTGCTCCTTATTCTAGTTTTGCTTGCTATTTCCACCACATCTGCAGTTACTTCCTCCACTGAAGTCTTGAGCCCCTCAAAGTCATCCATGAAGGTTGGAAGCTACTTCTTCCAAATTCCTGTTAATGCTTATATTTTTATCTCTTCTCTTGAATCATAAATGTTATTAATAGCATCTAGAAGGGTAAACCCTTTCTAGAAGTTTTCAATTTACTTTGCTCAGATCTATCAGAGGAATCACCATCTATGACAGCTATGGCCTTACAAAATGTATTTATTAAATAATAAGATTTGAAAGTTGAAATTACTTCTTGATCCATGGGCTATGGAATGAATGTTGTGTTAGCGGCATAAAAACAACAATTAATCTCCTTGTACATCTCCATCTGAGTTCTTAGGAAACCAGGTGCATTGTCAATGAGCAGTAATATTTTAAAAGAAATCTTATTTTCTGAGCAGTAGTTCTCAACAGTGGGCTTAAAATATTCAGTAAACCATGCTGTAAACAGATACGCTGACATCAAGGCTTTATTGTTCCTATTCTAGAACACAGACAGAGTAGATTTACTATAATTCCCAAAGGCCCTAGAATTTTCAGAATGGCAAACGAGCATTAGATTCAACTTAAAGCCACCAGCTGTATTAGCTCCTAACAAGAGAGTCATCCTGTTTTTTGAATCTTTGAAGCCAGGCATTGACTTCTCCTCTCTAGTTATGAAAGTCCTAGACGGCATCTTTTTCCAATAAGAGGCTGTTTCATCTACATTGAAAATGTGTTGTTTGGTGTAACCGCATCTTAGCTAGATCTTCTAGATAACTTGTTGCAGCTTCTACGTAAGAACTGGCTGCTTCACCTTGCACTTTTCTGCTATGGAAATGGTAATTTTTCTTAAACCTCATGAACTAACCTCTGTTAGCTTCAATCTTTTCTTCTGCAGCTTCTTTGCTTCTCTCAGCCTTCACTGAATTGAAATGAGTTAGACCCTTGCCCTGGATTATGCTTTACTGTAAAGGAAGGTTGTGTCTGGTTTGATCTTCTATGCAAACCACAAAAACTTTCTGTATCAGAAATAAGGTTGTTTCACTTTCTCATCATTCGTGTGTTCACTGGAGTAGCACTTTAATTTATTCCAAGAACTTTTCTGTTGCATTCACAATTTTGCTCTTTGGCACTAGAGGCCTCACTTTCAGCCTGTCTTGGCTTTCAACATGTCTTCCTCGCTAAGCTTAATCATTTCTAGCTTTTGATTTAAAGTGAGAGACGTGCAACTTTTTCTTTCACTTGAACACTTAGAGGCCATTGTAGGGTTATTACTTAGCCTAATTTCAATATTGTTGTGTCTTAGAGAATAGGGAGGTCCAAGGAGTGGAAGAGAAACAGGGAAATGGCCAGCTGGCAGAGCAGTCAGAATACACACATTTATCAATTTAAGTTCACCGTCTTTTATGGGTGAGGTTTGCGGCATCCCAAAACAATTACAATAATGTTATCAAAGATCACTGATCACAGATTGGTATATCAAATATAATATCATAAGAAAGTTGAAATATTGTGAGAAATACCAAACCGTGTCAGAGAGACACAAAGTGAGCACATACTGTTGGGAAAAAAATGGCACCAATGAACTTTCTCAATGCAGGGTCAACAAAAACCTTCAGTTTGTAAAAAAAAACACACAGTATCTAGGAAGTGCAATAAAGTGAAGCACAATAAGATGAGGTATGTCTGTACTATTAAAGTAACTCACAACAGGCTAAATTAAGACTGACAGTAAACCTATTGTGAAATCTAGAAGGAATTTCTACTATTAGGTTGATTGACCTAGATTGAAAAGTGTAATTGAGCGTCCATTTTCCAAGCTCATGAGAAATCTCCTCACTCCAATGTAGTTAGAAAACCCCTCCCTCCCTCATGCACTCTCTGCACTCTTGTTTACAAATACAAGCTCTCTACTAAACAGATATTTCTCTCTCCACTGTACATGCATTTTTTTGAGATACCTAGAGAGCTATTCTCTGTCACCCCCTGCTTTTCTCCCATATTCCAACTCCATCTCCAAACCACACCTGTATTCCTTCTTTTTAAGCATTTAGCAAAAGGCTACAGACTGCAAAAGTACAACTGCATGAAGTACGTGGAGAGGGTAAAGGTTCATGATGGGCACACTGTATTTTGGGGGTCAAAAACCTTCAAGCAAAGCATGCAGGATTGACTCAGGAAAAACAATGATAGCAGTGCATGCTAAAGATTTCAGCATAATTTATATTAAAACAATGGAGTTAGGGAAAGTCTTGAAATGGTTGCATAAAGCTGCTATACAGTTGGACCTCCAGCAATCCAGCGACAAGGGGGGAATTTCACATACCCTGATTTTTAGCAAATGTAGATCTAGGAAGATAGTCTTTTACCCAGAAAGGAGAAAAAACCAACATGGAGCCTATGACAATTACTGCATAGTCCAGGAAAGGAAAGAGTATCTTGAATATTGGGATGAAGAGCTTATGTATAAAGATTATTTATTAGGAAAACAAAAAATATTTTAAAACCTTAAGTAGAATGCATCAAAACATGGCATTCTTACTCCTGTAGTTGAAGGCAATAAAGGTGTAACATATAGAGAGCAAATGACAGAAATTTTAAAAAGGTAGGTGAGAGCAAGGAATGATTATGAGAAAATTAAAAGGATAATGCTAGAAACAAAATTTGTGCCAGAGGCAGTAAAGGAAGGAACTGATGGTATGGAAACAGATACAATAATGTGGAGTGTATATTTGAGAAGTCTTAGATTTGATAGAAATTGAGAAATAAATGATATTATTATGATAGAAGATGGAAAAGAAAGGAGTAATAACAGATATACGATAAACATGTTCATTACTTCTGAGGAAGTCAAAACAATGGGAACAGATCTAAAGACTGAAAGAATTCGTATCCTGAACTAAAAAGTAAAATAAGTCACCAGATAATTCAGATAGAAGAATCACAATCACTGTGCTCCATGTAATGTGAATAAAAGTTTGCATTCGATTGGGTGAATTTTAATTACATGAATAAATGAAACATGAAGCTTAATTAAAAGTTTCTCCCAAGAATTCATAGAAATAAATATCACACCAAGATAAGTTGGAAGACATACCATTTATAGCATCAGATGATTCAGATTTTTCGAAGTAGATAGCCAAAAGCAAGTTGCGTGTTTTTTCCCCCCAGCTTTATTGAGGTACAATTTACAAGTAAATCTGTATATATTTAAGGTATATAAATTAATGTTTTGACATACATACACATTGTGAAATAATCCCCATAATCAAGCTAATGAACATATCCAATACCTGACATAGTTATCATTTCCTTTTTATTTTGTCTGTGTATGTGCAAGAACACTTAAGATCTACCCTCTTGGCCAGGTGTGGTGGCTAGCGCCTGTAATCCCAGCACTTTGGGAGGCCGAGGCGGGTGGATCACGAGGTCAGGAGATCGAGACCATCCTGGCTAACACGGTGAAACCCCATCTCTACTAAAAATACAAAAAACTAGCCGGCCGTGGTGGCCGGCGCCTGTAGTCCCAGCTACTCGGGAGGCTGAGGCAGGAGAATGGCGTGAACCTGGGAGGCGGAGCTTGCAGTGAACCGAGATTGTGCCACTGCACTCCAGCCTGGGTGACAGAGTGAGACTCTGTCTCAAAAAAAAAAAAAAAAAAAAAAAAAAAAAATTCTACCGTCTTAGCAAATTCCAAATATACAATACAGTATTGTTAACTATAGTCATGGTGTTGTATATTGGATCTCCAGAACTTGTTCATCTTTCATAACTAAGACATGGTGTGCTCTTTGATCAACATTTCCTCATTTTCCCCTCCCCCAACCATTGGTAACCACTATTCTACTCTTTGTTTCTGTGAATTTGACTATTTAAGATTCCACATAAAAGTGAGCTCATGCAGTACGGTATTTGTCCTTCTTAGTCTGGCTTGT
This sequence comes from Homo sapiens, assembly GCF_000001405.40. Lineage (NCBI taxonomy): Eukaryota > Metazoa > Chordata > Mammalia > Primates > Hominidae > Homo > Homo sapiens. Next base: position 21,492,151 of record NC_000002.12, read on the forward strand.
TTCACTTAGTATAATGGCCTCATGTCCTCCAGGTTCATCCGTGTTGTCACAAATGTCAGAATTTCCTTTTTTAATGGCTGAATAACATTCCATTATGCATGCACACACACACTCCATACACACATGCACCGTTTTTTAAAAATCCATTCATCCATCAATGGACATTTAGGTTGTTTCCATGTCTTGGCTTTTGTGAATAATGCTGCAATGAACATAGAAGTGTAGGTATGTCTTCAAGATACTGATTTCATTTCCTTTGGGTATATATCCAGAGGTGAGATTGCAAAGTTCTATGTCAGTTCTATTTTTAATTTTTTGAAGAGCCTCCATACTTTTTTATAATGACTGTATCAAGTTACATTCCTAGCAATAATGTATAAATGTTCCTCTTCTAGTTGTATGGTTCTAACACTCTTAATATAAAAAGTGCCAAAAGTGATTGTAGATGATGATTAAAGAATATTTTTTAAATTTTGTTGTTGTGTAATGGCACACAAACATATCATAAAATATATTCTCTTGTAACCACTACCTGGGTCAAGAAGCATCATGCTGAAGACATGAAACCCTGAAGCCCTTATGCCTCTTCACAGTCAATATTTCCTTCTTACTCTCCTTTTATGGTAATAATTACCTTTTCTTTACTAGGTAAGACTACATCACTAAACAATGTGATTGTCTGTTTTTGAGTTTTATAGAAATGTAATCATACTGTGTATATTTTTGTGTGTTTATTTCTTCATTCAATAGTGCCTTTATGAGATTTATCTTTTTTTATTATTATTATACTTTAAGTTTTAGGGTACATGTGCACAACGTGCACGTTTGTTACATATGTATACATGTGCCATGTTGGTGTGCTGCACCCATTAACTCGTCATTTAGCATTAGGTGTATCTCCTAATGCTATCTCTCCCCCCTCCTCCCACCCCACAACAGTCCCTGGTGTGTGATGTTCCCCTTCCTGTGTCCATGTGTTCTCATTGTTCAGTTCCCACCTATGAGTGACAACATGCGGTGTTTGGTTTTTTGTCCTTGCAATAGTTTGCTGAGAATGATGGTTTCCAGCTTCATCCATGTCCCTACAGAGGACATGAACTCATCATTTTTATGGCTGCATAGTATTCCATGGTGTATATGTGCCACATTTTCTTAATCCAGTCTATAATTGATGGACATTTGGGTTGGTTCCAAGACTTTGCTATTGTGAATAGTGCCACAATGAACATACATGTGTATGTGTCTTTATAGCAGCATGATTTATAATCCTTTGGGTATATACCCAGTAATGGGATGGCTGGGTCAAATGGTATTTCTAGTTCTAGATCCCTGAGGAATCGCCACACTGACTTCCACAATGGTTGAACTAGTTTACAGTCCTACCAACAGTGTAAAAGTGTTCCTATTTCTCCACATCCTCTCCAGCACCTGTTGTTTCCTGACTTTTTAATGATCGCCATTCTAACTGGTGTGAGATGGTATCTCATTGTGGTTTTGATTTGCATTTCTCTGATGGCCAGTGATGATGAGCATATTTTCATGTGTTTTTTGGCTGCATAAATGTCTTCTTTTGAGAAGTATCTGTTCATATCCTTCACCCACTTTTTGATGGGGTTGTTTTTTTCTTGTAAATTTGTTTGAGTTCATTGTAGATTCTGGATATTAGCCCTTTGTCAGACGAGTAGGTTGCAAAAATTTTCTCCCATTCTGTAGGTTGCCTGTTCACTCTGATGGTGGTTTCTTTTGCTGTGCAGAAGCTCTTTAGTTTAATTAGGTTCCATTTGTCAATTTTGGCTTTTGTTGCCATTGCTTTTGGTGTTTTAGACATGAAGTCGTTGCCCATGCCTATGTCCTGAATGGTATTGCCTCAGTTTTCTTCTAGGGTTTTTATGGTTTTAGGTCTAACATGTAAGTCTTTAATCCATCTTGAATTAATTTTTGTATAAGGTGTAAGGATCTCTGCCAGTTATGTGTAGCTGTGCGTCTTCCATTTTCATTGCTATTTAGTGTTCCTGTTAATGAAAACACCACAATTTATTTACATATTAATTCTTTCTGGTTTTCAGATATTGCCAATAATAGCACTATAAAATTGATGTACGTGTCTCTTGGTGAACATGAGTACATAATTGTTGGTTATATGCTTAGAATAGAATTGCAGGGTAACAGGCTAGCATAGGCTTAGTCTTATTAGATAATATCAGTTTTCCAAGTTGTTCGTTAAAATAATTGACATTACAAACAACTGTGTATGAGAGTTCCATTTGCTCCACATCATTACCAACACTTGATATTTTCAGCTAAGTTTTAGCTGACCTACGGCATGTAAAGGGTATCACATTTTAGTTTTAATCTGGATTTCTTTTGTGACTAAAGGTTGAATGCAATTTCATAACTTTATCAACCATTCAACATCTTTAATAAAGTGTCTTTTCACAACTCTTGCCTATCTTTCTTGTCTTTTTCTTACAGATTTGTAGGAAATCTTTATGTATTTCAGCCCTTTGTTTACATGTACAACAAATGTATTTTCTGGCTTTATTCCCCCTCTATTTTTATAGTACCTTGTAGGGAATAGATGTCTTTAGTTTTAATTTATTTCTATTTATCAGTCTTTATGCTGATCACATTTTTGTTTTATTGAAGAAATTACTTTATATCCAAATTTGTAAAGATATTCTTTTATATTGACTTTAGGAAGCTTTATTGCTTTTTCTTCATATTTAGGTTTATGATCTACCTAAAGTTGATATCTTTTATATGGTGAGAAGCAGGTTTCTAATTTTATTTTATTTCCCTTATGGCTTATCCAATGATCCCAGAACAACTTATTGGAAATCTGTGTCTTCCCCACAGCTCTGCAGTTTCACCCCTGTATAAGTCAAGTATGCATAGAAGGATAAATCTCTTTTTGGACTCTCCCATTTATCTATATGCATTTTTTCATTATCAAAGCCTTATAATATAATATTGTATCTGAAAAGCAAACCATTCACCTGTTCTTCTTCTTGAAGTGAATGAGCTACTTTTAAAAATTTTTGCTTTTCCATAAAAATTGTACCGTCCACTTGCCAAGTTACAAACTTGAACAAACTTGTTGGATTTTCAATGGTATTACATTGAATCTATAGATTTATGCGGGAAAAACTGACAACTTTAAATATAGATTCTCTCAACCCATCAACATATATCTCCTTTATTTAATTCTTTTTAAGTGTGTCAATAAAATTTTATCAGTTGTCTTGTAGAAATCTTGCACATTTGTTATAGAATTATTATTTGATATTTTAACATTTTAGTGATATTATATATAGTGTTTCTGATTACTTTTAATTATTGTTGATTTATTGAAATACAATAATTTTTGTATATTGATTTTGTATATAGAAATATTACTAAACTAATTTAGAAACCCTAATACAATCAAATCATCTGTGAACTACGATGGATTTGTTTCTTCCTTTCTTATCCTTCTTACATTTCCATTTCCTCTCCTGGGCAGGATCTCTAGTATAATGTGAACTAGAGCCAGACATGATGGCTTATGCCTATAATGCCAGCACTTTGGGAGGCCAAGGCAAGTGGATCACTTCAGCCCAGGAGTTCGAAATCAGCCTAGGCAACATGGTGAAATCCTGTTTCTACTAATAATACAAAAATTAGCTGGAAGTGGTGACATGCACCTGTGGTCCCAGCCACTCTGTTGGCTGAGATGGGAGGATCACCTGAGCCCAGGGAGGTCAAAGCTACAGTCAGACAAGATCACACCGTTGCCCTTCAGCCTGGGTGACAGAGTGATACACTGTTTAAAAAAAAAAAAAAACAAAAAAAAAAACTAGAAGTCGTGAGAGGATGCATTTTTGTCTTGTTTCTGATCTTGCTACAAGATTTTTATGCATATACTCATGCACCATGTAACCCACATAACGACGCTTTGGTCTTTGGTCAATGACAGACCATATATATTACTGTGGTCCCATAAAATTACAATACCATATTTTTACTGTACCTTTTTTATATTTAAATATATTTGGATAAACAAATACTCACCATTGTGTTAGAATTGCCTGTAGTATTCAGTACAGTAACCTAGTGTACAGGTGTGCATCTTAGGAGCAATAGGCCATACCATGTAGTCTAGGTGCATAGTAGGCTGCATCATCTAGGTTTGTGTACGTACACCCTATGATGTGCACACAACAATGAAATCAACTAATGATGCATTTTTCAGATTGTATTCCTATAGTTAAGTGACACATGACTGTAATGTATTTTTAATCATAGGTCTTTCTTTTCCTAACCTGCTGAGAGATTTTATTTTTACTATGAATGGATGCTGAATTTTGTCAAGTGCTTTTTTCTGCACCATATGAGATTATAAAATCATCTTTATTCTTACTTCGTGAATGAGGTGCATGCAGTGTTCTTGCAGTGGATGGGTGGAGCCCTGCAGTGGATGGGTAGAGCCCAGAGTCCAGGATCTGCAGCAGCTCTGAATTACCACTCATTTTGCTCACTCCCCTCTATTTTGGTTTGGTAGTTTCTTACTCTCCTTTCAGTGCTTTCCTGAACTTAAGATGATTTTTTGAGAACTGTTTAATAAAATGTTGAAAGGATATACATTTTTTTTTATTTTACTTTAAGTTCTGGGATACATGTGCAGAACGTGCAGGTTTGTTACATAGGTATACATGTGCCATGGTGGTTTGCTGTGGCCATCAACCCATCATCTAGGTTTTAAGCCCTGCCTGCATGCATTAGGTATTTGTCCTAATGCTCCACCTCCCCTTTCCCCCCACCCCCCAACAGGCCCATGTGTGTGATGTTCCCCTCCCTGTGTCCATGTGTTCTCATTGTTCAACTCCCACTTATGACTGAGAATATTCAGTGTTTGGTTTTCTGTTCCTGTGTTAGTTTGCTGAGAATGATGGCTTCCAGCTTCATCCATGTCCCTGCAAAGGCCATGAACTCATTCTTTTTTATGGCTGCATAGTATTCCAAGGTATATATGTGCCACATTTTATCTAATCTATCATTGATGGACATTTGGGTTGTTTCCAAGTCTTTGCTATTGTAACTAGTGCTGCAATAAACATAAGTGTGCATGTGTCTCTATAGTAGAATGATTTATGATCCTTTGGATATATACCCAGTAATGGGATTGCTGGGTCAAATGGTATTTCTGGTTCTAGTTCCTTGAGGAATTGTCACACTGTCTTCCACAATGGTTGAACTAATTTATACTCCCACCAACAGTGTAAAAGCATTCCTATTTCTCCAAAGCCTTGCCAGCATCTGTTGTTTCCTGACTTTTTAATAATCGCCATTCTAACTGGCATGAGATGATATCTCATTGTGGTTTTGATTTACATTTCTCTAATTACCAGTGATGGTGAGCTTTTTTCATATGTTTATTGGCCACATAAATGTCTTATTTTGAGAAGTGTCTCTTCATATACTTTGCCCACTTTTTGTTAGGGTTTTTTTTTTAATTGTAAATGTGTTTAAGTTCCTTGTAGATTCTGGATATTAGACCTTTGTCAGATGGGTAGCTTGCAAGGATATTTTATTATTATCTGAAATATGAGTAATCTTGCATTAAAAATGAAGAAACTGGCAAAAATATATTTTGTTTAATAATGAAAATAGCTACTAAGGGAAAATGTAACATAATAACTACCTAAAAAACTAATGTGGCAGAACAAGAGTTTCTTATAACAAAGGACTAAGAATTGGCTGGCTCCTAATTGCAGCTGAACCAAGAGACCAGATGTGAAGCTGTGGTTGATTTTTCTCTTCTATCATCTACTGCAGCTTTGAGGGCAGGAGATCTGGGTATTATTCTTGGCTGTAACTTCGGCCATGGCACTGACCCTTTCTAGATGCCCAGTTCATTTCTTTTTCCTTTATCTTGCTGTTATCCAGCTCCTATCATGGCATCAGATTACAGTTTGTTCCTGTTTTTCCCCATCTGAAATTCTCTCCGGGTCTCAGCACACATCTTTCATTTAATATCTTTCCCTGTGATTTTCCATTAGGTCACACTGATTTTATCCAGCTTTTAAATGTCTCAAGAAGTCCTTCGGGGTCCATATATTAATGAATAGCCATAGTTGTTTTTAGTTTGCAGGAGAGCAGAGAGGAACCTGGGAATATTGCAGCCATTCATTTGCAAACGATTTAAGAAATACTTCATCCTGCTTTATTGTGTTTCATGTGATATAAACACACCTCTCAATCGAATTTTGCTTTGTATTCAAGTGGGAGGTTTAATTATACCGTAGACAGAAAGAGAAGAGTACAGTTATTTTAATCAGAGTTGGGAAAGTAGGAGAAAAGTAGTTCAGAATTTTGTCATTAATAAGAATATATATATTAAAAACTATGTGTTGAATCCTTTAGCTTTAGAGCTCATACATGGCATTTAAAAATTGAAAACACGTTTTTCCCAGTAACAACGTGGGCTTTCTCTTGGTTCCTGGTTGCTATGTTAAAGAATAAAAGTGGGCCTAACAATTTTTCATTTGTGGTGTTTTTATTGGGAACAGAAATAGTTCCTTAGAGTTTCTAAGGAGACAATGAAATAACAATTGAAAATAATATAAAACAGATCCCAAACAGGATAAGGGATGATATCTTAAGATCAAAAGAGTACATTGTCCCATCGTTTTAGAAGGGGAAGGTAGTGGTTCTGTTTGTAATCATGTCTCTACCAATTGTAGGGGGAGACATGTTTTCCTTGAAGCAGCATATCAGAGTAGCTAACAACGCGGATGCTCAGAGAAGGCCACTTGTTCTCAAGTTCTCCACCTCCTCCTAGCTGAAATGCAAGGTCCTAGAATAGTCAACATAACTTTGAAAAAGAAGAACAAATTTAGACAACTTATACTACATAACAAATAGATGATATGACAGCATAGAGAGTCCAGAAATAAACATGCATAGGCAACAGATTTTGACAAAGGTGCAAAAGGCATGTCAGTGGAGAAAAAGGTGGTAGAACAATTGGATATCCATAAGCAAAGCAAAACAAAGAAATTTATACCTGAGGTCATACACAAAAATCAACTAAAACTGAATAATAGGCCTACTTATAAAACGTAAACCAAAAAAACTTCTAGAGGTAAACACAGAAGAAAATCTGCATGCCCTTCTGTTAGGCACATATTTTCTTAGGTATCACACCAAAAGCACAATCCCAAAGGGAGCATTTGATAAATTAATCTTTATCAAACTTAAAAATTTATATTTAAAAGACACTGTTAAAAAAATAAAGAGACAAGCTACAAATTGGGAGAAATAACTTGCAAATTATAAGTCTGATAAAGGACTTATATATCCAGAATACAAAATATTTATAAAACAATCTAATAAAAAAATAGAAAATTATCTTACCAGGTATTTCACCAAAGAAGTGAAAAATGATGGGCAAATAAACACATCATTATTTATTCAGAAAATGCAAATTAAAACCACATTGAAATACCACTACCCACCCACTAGAATGACTATAATCTAAAGACAGATAATATTAAGATTTGGCACGGAAGTGGAGGAATTGAAACTCTCATACACTGTTGGTAAGAATGTAAAATGGTACAACCACTTTGCCAGACAGTTTGTCAGTTTCTTAGAAAGTTAATATATTGGGCCAGGCGCAGTGCCTCACGACTATAATCCCAGCACTTTGAGAGGGCGAGGTGGGTGGGATCAGTTGAGGTCGGGAGTTTGATACTAGCCTGGCCAACATGGTGAAACCATGTCTCTGCTAAAAATAAAAAAAATTAGCCAGGAATGGTGACGCACACCTATAATCCCAGCTGCTAGGAAGGCTGAGGCACGAGAATCGCTTGAACCTGGGAGATGGAGGTTGCAGTGAGCCAAGATCCCGCCTCTGTACTCCAGCCTGAGTGACAGAGCAAGACTCTATCTCAAAAAAGTAAAAGAAAAACAAAAAAAATTAAATATTGGGAGGCCAAGGAAGGAGGATTGCTTGAGGCCAGGAGCTTGAGACCAGTCTGGACAACACAGTGAGAGCTTGTCTCTAGAAAAAAATTTTTTAAAAATTATCCAGGCATGGTGGCATGTACCTGTGGTCCTAGCTACTTGAGAGGCAGAGGTAAGAAGATCCCTGAAACCCAGCAGATCCAGGCTGCAATGATCTATGGTTGTGCCACCGCACTCCAGCCTGGATGACAGATTGAAAACTCCTGTCTCTGAAAATAAAGAAAAAAACAAAAAAGAAAAAAAGGTAATATACACTGACCATATGATCCAGCCTCTCTACTGCTGGGAATTTGCCCAAGAAAAATGTAAGCATATATTCATACAAAGACTTGTACATGAATACTCATAGCAGCTTCATTTGTGGTAGCCCTAGCCTGGAAACAACCCAAATGTGCATTGATAGGTGAATAAACAAACAAACTGTATATCCACACAATGAAACACTACTCAGCAGTAAAATGAATGACTTATTGGTATAAGTCATCGGTATAAGAATTTGGATGACTTTAAAATTAATTACGTTGAAGGAAATAAAGCAGACCAGAAAAGTACACACCATAAATTCCATTCATACAAAATTGTACAAAATGTAAACAAGTATACTGTGAGAGAAAGCAGACCCGTGGTTGCCGGAGGATGAAGTGGGTAGATTGTAGGAAGGGGCAGGAACATTGGATTACAAGGAGCACAAGGAGACTTTTCAGTGGATGATGAATTCACAGGTGTATAAATATGTCACATTTGATAAGTTTATCAAATTATGTACTAATGTTATTAAATAAATATATCAAAGGTGTATAAATATGTCAAATTCGATAAGTTTATCAAATTATATACTGGTACTAGATTTTATTTTATGTCAATTATACCTCAAAAAACTTTTTAAAAGTGGACAACATTAAAAACATCTATTTTGCAACCCCAAGATAAATGGAACCAATAACCACACCCCAGTTATAAGGTTATTGTGATTATGTCATAACTTACATGGAATGTTTAGTATTTTACCTGGCAACTGTAAACTCTCTTTAAATATTAGCAATTTTTCCCCTTTTTATTGAATTATGAAAAGAATTATCTCTGAGAAGAACAGAGAGGGTGCTTTCTGAAGCCGCGCTGCAGGGGAAGGTTGAGAGGTGCCCTCATTCTCTGTTATGGGCTGAATTTTGTCCTCTTCAAATTTATAAGTTGAAGTCCTAACTCTGAGTGTTAGGTATTATGACTGTATTTAAAAATAATGCCTTTAATTATGTAATTACATTAAAATGTTGTCATTAGAGTGGCCTCTAATCCAGCATGGCTGGTGTCCTTGTAAGAAGAGGAGATTAGGACACACAGAGAGACACCAGGGATGTGCACACACACAGAAAGGCCATGTGAGGACACAGGGAGAAGCAGCCATCTGCAAAGCAAGGAGAGGAGCCTCAGAAGAAACAGCTTTGCCAAAACCTTGATCTTGGACTTCCAGCCTTCAGAACAGTGAGAAAATAAATCTCTGCTGTTTAAGCCGCCTCTGTTAGTGGTACTTTGTTATGGCAGCTCATCTGAACAGACTAATTCACACCCAGGAACAGAAGGTCTCTTGCATGGCACTTCCCTCTCTACCAAAGCAACTGCTCCTTAACATGCCTGTTTCCGCAGAGCACCCAGGCTTTCTGCACAGAGCAGCAGTCGGCTGTCACTCCTCCAGGGCAGAATGTAATGACAAGCCTCTCAACATCTAAACCCAACCAGGCACAGACCCTGTTGCACCTTCTTCAGTGCCTGCTATGGTGGAGGTACCTGATGGGGTTTGCAGCTGCTGTGCCTTTGAGCTTCAGGCTCCAAGCTCTTACCACTTAGTGCCGTTGTGAGGTGCGGCCAAGCCCTGGCTTTATATAATCAAGTGCTCTGTGCAGTGAGACATGAAAAAGGAAGGAAACAAATGAAACTCTCAGCTTACTTCACTCATGGGGATTTTATTTCCTAGTTCATTTATGGCACTTTTCATGTGAAAATTGTATCTTGAAACGTAGAAGTTTAAATATCTTCAGTGGAATTATTACACATTTTCTAAGACTCTGGTGTTCTTCTTTGTATAAAGTAAGGCCTGCTCTTGCTCTCTCCCTTAAGATACCATGTCCTCATTTATTTCTGTGCCTTTAAACTTTTCTTTCTATATAACAAGCTCCTTGAACACCTCTTAGGATTTTTTTTTTTTATCATAAACCAGATTTTTCATTCTTTGAATGCTTGTTCTCTCCAACCCTCATATTAAACTTCCTGCAGAGTGAATCTATGAGTGATCTGTCATACATAAGCACAGAAACTCCTTGGAGACAGAGACGTGGTTTTATATCTTACACATAGCCTTCTGGGCACTAAGTGTTCTTAATAAATCCCTGTAATGGCTTCCTCGGTGTCTAAAGCATTTTCCTTCCATAGAACTCAACAAGTTTTCACATAACTCAAACTAATTGAAAAGTAGTCATTCACTCTTTTATTCATTGGACACATATCAGTTGATGGGGTTACAAAGTTGAATCAGAAACATTGTTTGCCGTAAGGGGACTTTCAACTTAATAGAGGGATTCAAAAATGTAAATAAATATATGTAAGAAAATTTTGTAAGAGTAAGTGGAGTTAGAAGTAGATAGAACACCAGGAGAGATGATGTAGGGATTAGGAGGGCTTTTCAGAAGAGATGACCCTGAAATAGAGACTTAAATATCAGCGTTGTTTCAAAACAGAACCCCTCTTCAAGCCTCAAAACAATATTTTGTAACCCAGACATATAATCTATCCAGCTCTGCTGTGGATACCCCAAGGTGTGTGGGGTAGGAAGCTTTTCTTTAAGGAACTTACAGTTCCGCCAAACACACCTTATGATATCATTAAATGTTGTTTCTTTTTTAAATTTTTTTATTATACTTTAAGTTCTGGAATACATGTGCAGAACGTGCAGGTTTGTTACATAGGTATACATGTGCCATGGTGGTTTGTTGCACCCATCAACCCGTCATCTATATTGGGTATTTCTCCTAATGCTATCCCTCCCCTAGCCCTCCACCCCTGGAGAGGCCCTGGTGTGTGATGTTCCCCTCCTCGTGTCCATGTGTTCTCATTGTTCAGTTCCCACTTATGAGTGAGAACATGCGGTGTTCGGTTTTCTGTTCTTGTGTTAGTTTGCTGAGAATGATGATTTCCAGCTTCATCCATGTCCCTGTAAAGGACATGAAGTCATCCTTTTTTATGGCTGCATAGTATTCTATGGCGTATATGTGCCACATTTTCTTTATCCAGTCTATCATTGATGGGCATTTGGATTGGTTCTGAGTCTTTGCTATTATGAACAGTGCCACAATAAACATACGTGTGCATGTGTCTTTATAGTAGAATGATTTAAAATCCTTTGGGTATATACCCAGTTATGGGATTGCTGGGTCAAATGGTATTTTTCACTTATAAACATGCATTGACCTGTGAAGATTTGATAGAGAAATCTGACCCTTAAAAGTGTGCTAAGCTGGGCAAAATATCTGACGGTTTATTTGTACATTTTTTCTTTTAAGTTATGTGACAATTTTGTACTGGCTTTCTGAAGTATATCCACCTTTCACTAAAAATGAGTGTCAATTTTCTTGAAACACCAGCAGTTAAGAAATATAACACTTTGAAAGCAATCAGCTCCTGGCCTGCTTTTTCCAAAAGCTCCTGACATTCCATAGAGCAGTGAGCTTTTCTCTGTTCAGTTCTCAAATCTAAAATATGCAGATTTGGAACACACCATCTAGCCCTTAATTACATTCTTTTTAAAAATTAATATTTGCTATTTTTTTCATTAATGCTACTCAAAGATAAGGTAAGTTCTTGGATAACAGTAAACATGTCTATTCCCTAAATTATTTTCAAAACCCCTGGCAAAATGTGTGATACATTGTTGCCATTCAGGGTTATAAAAAAGGACTTCAGTCTCTGCTTGAGAAGGCCTTTAGCACTAATTTGGCCAACTACTTTCTGGTGGATGGTTGTTTTGGGGCCAGAAGAGTGTTCTTACCTCGAAGAAAGAGGACATCTCCAGATCTATTATGCAGTGCTTTGGCACCCATCTTCTCCAAGGAAGGGATTCTTAGTAGAAAAGTGGATATTGAGTATAAAGCAGTGTTGAAGTTAGAACTAGAAATGAAATTTTCATAAAGAACAGTAAAGTTCCAGAATTATTGACTTCCCCTTCACCTCCTTCTGCCTCATTTTTCCTCTAAAGTGGGTCATGTCACCCAGAGTTTATTGATATGCTATTGTCAGCTTTATAAGAAGTGACTCCACCTTCTCTCCCTTACTTTCAGGCCAACAGAAAAGCAGAAATAGGCATCAGTTGGGATTCTGGTGACTGCATCTTTGAACTGCCATATGGTACACACAGTACAACCACATCCCCCTCACCTATTTATGAAAATGGATATTCATTTTCTAGTTGAATACTGCACAGATCACATTTTTCAATATCATTACTAATGAAGCTTACTGTGTTGCTTTGATTGCTATCTGAATGTGAGCAGCTAATTAGATAGATTGTCTATTTGATGCCTGCTGATTAGCTTATGAAAGCCCTCTGAATTCCTGACTTTGTGAGAAAATGCCCCTGACTTTATGATTACTGATTGATGCTCAAATTTCTGATTGCCGTGTGAATAGACACTTAATAGCTCTGTCACCTTGACAAGGGTTTTGGTATTCATCTGATGAGGAAAACAGAGCAGGGTGCTCTGTTTATCAATGTCTGCCAAACATTTAAAGTTCTTTAAAGTGTGAAGACTGCTATCAGTGGCATCTGTGGCCTCCTGAAAAGGCCAAGTAAATAATGTCATATGGTTACCAAGAGCAATGAGAGAGGAGGCGCTGTCAGTAGCCCTGAGGTTCTGTTCTTCCTCAAGACTGGTTTTAGGAATAGGATTCATATATATGGCCCAGGAGTCTCCAAAAGGACCATTCACTTTCAACAGCGAGTATGTATAGTATGACTGTAGCCTCTGATGCAGACTCTTCTGATTTTGCACTAAAATACCTGGTAAGACACCAAAAACAGAAAAATCATAAAAAGACCAAGAACTAGTACTGACAGTTGACTTATTGTTTGAATCTAGGAGACTCCTCCCTCTCTGTGGTGTATAAAACTAGATTGTAAATGGAAACCCTGATTCAACTCAATATGATTGCTTAAACTAGGAAAAATGAAAACAAAAACCTCTTATCTTTCCCACTCTTGTTTCCTGGGTTCACAACGGTAAGTTTTGCCCCAAGCAAAGAATTGAGTCCCTTCTCTGCTTTGGGGGAATTGCTTTTAACAACAGGTCTGACATCTCACTCATTGCCTCTCTTTTTGCATCCAAGCAGAGAATACAACATTGAGGCTTACAATGACCCTGAATACACACTCATTCCTGCTAAAAAGTGTTGCAAGTCACAAGAGAAGAGGATACACATGCACTGATTACCTAAAAGATGTGGAATGAGGTAAAGAAGGATGTAAGGCCAACATTGAAGAGAAAGTGGAAATGAAGACAAATTTGACTTCTTTCATATTTTTCCTAAGTGCTGATATTTATTCCTTTGAAACTTCTTGTTGAAATTTTATTCGCAGTGTTGAAGGTGGGAACCAATGGGAGATATTTGGATCATGGGAGCAGATCCCTCATGAATAGATTAATACATTCCTTCCAGGGTGAGTGAATTCTCACTCTGTTATTTCCCACATGAGCTGGTTCTTAAAAAGAGCCTGGCACCTCCTCCCTCTCTCTCTTGCTTCCTCTCTACGATGTGATTTCCCGCACACACAGGCTCCCTTTTGCTTTCCACCATGAGTGGAAGTAACCTGAGGCCCTAATCAGATTCAGATGCCCAATCTTGAACTTTTCAGCTGTCGGAATTGTGAGTTGAAAAGTTCACGATTGAGCATCTGCGTCAGGTGCCCAATCTTCATTACCATTCTGAATCCAAGAACCATTTTTTTTTTTTTATAAATTACCCAACCTCGGATACCCTGAATATTGGAGACAGGGTAGGCCATGAATGGTGGGTTCCCATGCATAAATGCCTGACGACAAAAACCTTTTCAAAAACCACACCTTTGCATAAAAGCATCACAACCTTACACACACAAAAATAGTTCTGCAAGGATATCTGCCCAGCCACTGCCTGTCTAAACTCAGATCAGCACCACCCTTGTTACTGATCAATGTAGGCAATAATAATTGTCTCACAACAATTATATGCCCCATCTCATTTTGTCCTTTAAAAACCTTTGCCTTCCTTTACATTTCTTAATACTCACATAGATTACTATGGCATGTGTATTCCTATTGCAACACCCATTCCTGAATAAATATCATTTTCTTTCAGAGAGCCTTTCTATGTTTTTTATTGAGCTTGACAAAATGGTGTCTGAAGCAGAACTGAAGTGAGCTGACCTCGGTTAAAACGGTGGCCCCTAGAATTGAGTGTGGTACTGACTAAGCCATTGTGCTCTCCATTTCTGTCAATTGTCTTTTCTACCTTGGTAAATGTCCTCTCAGATTGTCTGCCTTCTTTCCTTTGGTGAGTTCTTTTTGACTTTATTGGCTATCTGATTTGGTTATAAAGATATCTTAAGTGAAGGACCCTGCATCTCTCTTGGGACTATGAAAGTCCCTCATGGCAAGCCTTGTCTGGAGTGTCCTTTTGAGAGCACTCTGGTTTCTGTGAAATTTGTATTTGTCTTCGAGGCACGTCTTTTCTGGTGAATTCACTTTTGTTTCTTTCTGTGCATCTAGTTTACTATTTTGTTTTATCAATATGGCTGGGTTATAATTTTTGTGAGCACTCTGATATGGGTTTCATTTTGATATGGTTATGTGCATAGATAAATAATTTGGCCCTTTTTTGCCTTGCTTGTTCCTGAACATTTTCCAAGAGCAAAAATAAACATTCTAAATGGTAGGGATGACATGGCCAATTAAAAGCCACTAGAATGGTCACCACCATCTAAAACACCAGTCTAAACTTCTGAAATGTTGGTACAGAATTTATAGGATTTTTTTATGCTCTAAAGAGATTAATAAGAAATGGAATAGGTTCTTAAATATTAAGACATGCCAAGCTTTCTGGAACTGCAGCCAGCTATACATTCAAAATTTATGGTCTCTTTTCCTGCATATTTTTAACTGATGGACAGATTACACAAAAGATAATTTATGTCATTAAAGAGATCATTCAAATTCTCCAAACTTATTTTTTTGTAGAACTATCTCAGATAATTCCATTGATTCTACTTGAGTAGCTTTTAATTCCATTTTTGTCAATGGCCTCTCTCAAGAACTTTCTCAGCTTGTTAAAAGAGCTCACACAGAATGGAAAACCATGCCTACTTCTGCTCTAATTAATTTAGCAAATCAACTTGCTCACACCCTTGAGGACACTAATAAGACAAAAACACTACAAATTTTAAACTTCATTTACCAAAGATGAAAACTTGTAGACAGAGCACTAAGCAGAGAGACCTTCTGGTGTCTGCCACTACTTTAAACACACAGATCCCTGGAAAAGGAACTCTACAAAGGAAAAAAAAGGTCCATGAAAGCTTTCAAATTTCCCCATCTCTGCAGAAGACAAATCTCAATGAGAAGCTCCTAAAAATGTTCCCTTTTAATACAAATTTAGGTTTGTGTGGTTAGCAACTGCTTAGGGTAATGAAACAGTTAACTGAAATATTTTTATTCTAAGAGAAAAAAATAGATAATGGTTATGAATGCTAGGATCTCAGATCAAATAGTTCAAAATCTTGAGCTCAGAGCAATAATGTAAGTTATCTCTATCTTACATAAAAATGTTTTGCCTGCCACAGAGGAGCCACAAAAATCCTTCAAAATAATTTTTTTTTTCTAAAATGCTTTCCCACCTGCATTGACATATTAAGCAAACCAGACCAATAAACAAAAGAGAGATTTGTTACTCATTCAAGGCCACTTAGAGAGATTTTTTTTTCTTATACAATTTATTTAGTCCTAGCTAAAACATAAGAATTTGAATATTAACCCTAAACTCATTTGAAACTAAAAAAGAGTATAAAAATTTTAAAGTATAAAACTGCTTTTCACATTTATTATCAATGTTCACATTATTAGTTCACATTTATTAGCAATGTTCACATTATTAGTTCACATTTATTAGCAATGTGAACAATACTTTAGTAAGAAATATAATTTGGATCCAACTTTCTTTTATAAACTGGTGAGTTCCTATTACTGTGTTTTACTGTCTCATGACTGAGATTCTCAAATGAAAGCTATAAGATTTTCATTTGTGTATTTGCAAATGTGTGTTTACACGTTACGTATTGTGCTGGGATGACAGGTATGAGCCACTGCACTCAGCCTACAAATTCTAATTATTATACTGTTAATTCTGTGTGCAAAGTGTACCCAACAAAAGATGTGCTTTTGATAAAGAAAATTCTAAGACAGTCATAAAAATGTGTTATTTATGAGAAAAAATAGTAACTTTGTTTTTTCAGGAGGTTATTGAAAGATTGTTTCAAAATGTGAATTTAGGGTGGGAGTAGAAACGAGATAGGAACCAGTAAGTAGTAGAGAATGGTGTAAAAAAAGGTATAGGTATGAAGATATATTTTTGGTAAGGAAGGTAAAAAAGAAGAGAATAATTTGGTATGAGAAAGAATCTTGTGTGTAAATTTTTGTTCTTGAGTAGAATGCCTGACTATTTAAGTAAGAGGATGAATAGGACAAAGCAGGAAGCAGCATGTCATGGAAGGTGTGTATAAATTGTGAAAGACCTGTGAGACATGAATTTATGAAAGAGACTTTTGTGTGTGATCAATTTGGCTACAATTGGAAGAATAATTATTTATAAAGACTGAGGTAATTTAGAAATTATTTCTAAAGATTAATCTTTGATGTTAAAAATAGACTGACAAAATTAAATATTTGGTTCCCTATATTCAACAAAAATATTTTCTTGAAGTATTAATCTACTCTTAGTAAAATTGTAAGGGGCTATGATTTTTAATTCTGAAACTTTTGTAAACCATCTACTATAAAATGGTTAACAGGAAAATAATGAATGATGCATTTCATTACTTCCAAATTCTTCATAGTTTGCTATTTTTAAATTTATTTTTTTAGTTTACAGTTTTTACTTCTGTCACATTTATTTCTGTGATCCATTTAATTTCCCTAGTTTCAGTTTGGAAGTGTTGTCTTCTTCATTTAGAATGATAATTTTATTTATTAAGGTAGAGATTGCCTCTCAAAGCTTCTCAGATTTATATCTTAAGCATTCATCCTTTTTTGTATCTCACTGAACATGATTTTAAGGTCATACATCATTGCCTTCAGCTCTTTCTCCCTTTGAGAAGGTACATATTTTTGTTTGGTTGGGTGGTAACGCTCTCCTTCAACATTTTTTATCATATTGTGTAATTTTTTTTCTCTAGTTTTAATTCTGCTGTTATGGCCAGATGCTGAAATGTTTATTTTCAAGGCATGGAACAGCAATGTTTTCCTCCAGAATAATTTGATTCCGTACCCTTGGCTTTTCTCTTTTTTTTGTTTGAGACAGAGTTTTGCTCTTGTCGCCCAGGCTGGAGTGCAGTGGTGCGATCTCGGCTCACTGCAACCTCTGCTTCCTGGGTTCAAGAGATTCTCCTGCCTCAGCCTCCCCAGTAGCTGGGATTATAGCTGTGCGCCACAATGCCTGGCTATTATTATTATTATTATTATTCTGTTTGTATTTTTAGTAGAGATGGGGTTTCACCATGTTGGGCAGGCTGGTCTCGAACTCCTGACCTCAGGTGATCCGCCCACCTCAGCCTTCCAAAGTGCTGGGATTATAGGCGTGAGCCACCACGCCCAGCCTCTTGGCTTTTCTTTGTGTGCCTGAATTGTTTCATGTAAATAGGAAATTTCCTGTACTTTACTAAGAGCCACATATTGAACTGCTCAAGGTACTAGTTTTCTTATTTACGTTCTACAGTGTTAATGTATAATGTTGGACATACACTTTTTCTGTGTCTGGTTAAATTCAAGTGCCTTTTTCATGAGCTTCGACTTCTAGGTTATCTAAATGGGTTTTCCTTAAGGAGAAGCAATTATACTGCTTTATCTTTATCTCTTTTTTTTTCACTGGCTTAAGAAAACACAATTTTACATTTTATCAAAATAATTTTCTGTGTTATCTTTATTAGATTTTTTTATCACTTAGGAAAATGAGCTTTGAAAATCTTATGTTTTTTTAATATCCATGTAATTTTCTGCACTGCTTTTGAAGTATTTGATTATCAATCTGCTTACATGAATGACTACTAATTTACAGTGATCTGATCTATGATCCTGCTTTCATCAAATGTTAAACCTTTTGGTATCTTTAATGCGCTTCCCCACTGTAAAAATTCTAAATTAAGTCTTTTGTACCTAGATTAAGGTTTGGGATTTTCCGTTCAGGCCCCTAGACAGCCTCAAAGAACATATTTCTCATCTAGTAGAGATATTAAATGAGTAGGCCTATTTGGTAAATTGTATAGAAAGCACGGTCAAATGCAAAGCGACGGTAGATCTTTCCATTATATTCGAGTATGCTATTGCTAGGAAAGTTTCAAAATTGTGTAAAACTTTTAGAAATCTGACATGTTATCAGTCATAATTCTGGTTATTATTTTATATCCTATAAAATATCCACATTTCCTTCTCAATTTCTGGTTATGTTGAACTTTCATCAGATTTTTATCATTGTTATTCTAAGATTTTGTCATCTACAGTTACTGTTTTGAATTCTTCTCTACAGACATTTGCAATTAGATTAATGGAAAAGACTAGAGTCTTAGAGTCTTAGAATTCTTAGACAAGTCTTAGAATCTTTAAATACAGGATTCTAGTAACTTTAAAATCAATAGACTAAACAAATTTTCAAAGCTCTGATGAAGAAACTAATGAACTCATAAAACTGCTTATCAAAATCAAGTAAAACTAAAATTAATTACATGAGATTAAGCAACTGATAATTTTTATAACTTTTATTTAAAATATCATTTGTTCTTTAGTTAAAGGTTTTGTTTTCCAGATTTAACAACTTTTTTTTCTCTTAAGCTTTCTATAGCTTACAAAAATTTGGTAAAGTATACTTTTGCAAAGAAACATTTGTTTATTTTCCCTCTTGATCCTTCTAAAATTCAAAAACTATCCATGAGTATTCTTATTTTTATGGCCAAAAAATGGTTATTTACATAAGTCCCTTAAGAGTCTGCTCTCTTTATAACAGTATACAATTAGATACATTGACTATATTGCCAAGGCTTTAACTGAAATATCATACTTGAGAATGTGTATAGAATGCCAAGCTTCAAGAATTTCCAGCCTTACAGTGAGAGAGTAAAAGTTGTCACTTCTTGGTAGACCCAGTAACCTTAATAATGCAGGTACAATCTAAAGTCGGCCTTGGTTTGGCTTTCTAGCCTTAAAATATTTTAAAATCAGACATTCCTATGTGATCAATGTACAGAGAAAAAAAATGTTTCTAGAGAAAAACTATAATATACCTGTTACTAGATTACAGCCCTGTACATATTTTTCACGTTTTTATTTTCTACCTGTAGACTAGACTAGATCTTGAGTTCTTCATTCCTCTAATTCAACTTTCTTCCACAAAATTACTAAATATGGGAACTGCTCTGTTCCTGAAGATCTGTAGCTGAAAGTATATGAATTTTAAGTGACAAGTCTTGTGCCTGATGTATGGGTCACATAAAAAGTTCACTAAACCACTAAACGCTATAACCAGAGACATTAAAATTCCAAATTAGGACAAGAGGTTGATGCCTTCATGCTGTAGACAGCTTTTTATAAGATGTCAGAATAAGCCTCCATACCATAATGAGACTGTTACCCCTCCTAATACTTACCTTTCTTACCTGACAGGATAATGATGTAATGGAAATTTTATAATCAGTAGTTTCTGCTGGTAACTTGACATAATCCAACCCAAGAGATCCTATAATATCTATTGGTTAAATTAGGAGATGTCTGTGCTGTTGCTCATGCTATATGCTGTACCTAGATTAATTCCTCTGGGAATGCTGAGACCAACATACACAAAATAAGAAAGCAGGCCACGGAGTATGGTTTTTAAAATTTATTCAGTTGGTTGCCTTTAGGCCTAAGTTCATGGCTCAAAACTATTATGCAAATGGAGATTATCATTTTACTGTGATTTTCCTTTTGAAACTTTTTATCTGTTACTTGTTAAACTTCTGCAGAAGTACAACTTCTAGCAGAATAATACTGGCCCAGCACATTGAGATGATCGTAAAAGACTGCAGAACAGAAAAAATTGAACTTAATAACTGACACCAGGAAGACTTAACCTGAAAGCTACTCCCTTCAAACCACCTTGTTGCTGAAATATTGTTAAATATTGTTAAAAATTGTTAAAAGGGTTTTGATGCTGACTCCTAGTTGCCAATCACTTCCTCTGACATGGGACCAGACCAACAACCTGGGGCAGGTATATCCTGTTACTGAGCGAGGGACCATCAAAACCTAACTACAGGGTGATTGATCAGTGACGTTTTCAGAAAAATATCTTGACCTAAAGGGAAAAATGTGAAAGTTGTCAGAATCAAAATGGAGTCACTTGTGTTATTAAAAAAAACATAAACCTGAAAAATAGAGACAGTGAAGCCCATGAAGGGAGCCCACGCATGGATGCTTGATAAAAAGTATTACAAATGACTCTCCAAAACCACAACCTTGCACAACTGCCATCACAACCTAACACAAGAAATACTTTTGTGAGGACATCCACGTAGCAACTCCCTGTGGAAACTTGGACTTACACCACGCTTGTTATTGATTCATGCAGTCAAAGTTAAATATCTCAAAACGATTATATAACCCTCCTCATTTTTCTTTTTGAAGTCTTTGTCTTTCTTTACCTTCCTGAACAGTACATAGTTTACTATGGCATGGGTATTCCCATTGCCATGTCCATTCCCAAATAAATATTTTCTTTTAGAGAGTCTCTCTCTGTTATTTAGGTTGACAAGATCAGTGCAAATGTTTATGTCTGCAAGTTGATGTTTGGGTAATGGGTAAACTACTTTAGAAAATGGTCTGTCATTTTTTGGTAACATTGAACAACTCTCTTGCTGCACCCACCAGACATAGGAAGAAGGCAGTTGTGTGTGCATGTCCACAGCCCCGAGATTGTTCTCACATGGCAAGAAGCAATGAGAAAGCACAAGTGGACAGGCTGTAGTTGAAGGTGCTGAGGAAGACTCGAAATGACATCTTGTGTGGCTTTAATTCCCATTCACCTGTCACTTTCTCATGTATGGATGTCTGATAACAAAAGTATTAAAAAATCTTAACGTAGGCAAAATGATTTGTCTTTTGTTTTCCAAATAATACTTTCTGCATTTTGTTTGAGGTAGGCTCACCACCTTGAAACCATAATGATATTTTCAGTGATTATTTTTCTAAATATTTTAAAGTTTTATATTTGTATTTCAGTTTTTAATCTACAGGGTATTGTTTTTTTGTGTCTGACAAAAGGTGGGGATTTGATTTCGTTCTTTTTCTTTCTACATGGTTATCATGGTTATATCATTTTCCCGGCAAAATTAATTGACGGATCCATCTTATCCAAATTGAATGGCAATGCCGGTTTTTAACATACCCTCTTTTCACATGTGTGCATATTCTGGTTCTGGGGTCTCTGTTGAGAATTTGATTAGAATTGCAATGAAGTTATTAATCAATTTGGTCAGAATTGTAGTACTGTTTAGTCTTCTTATGCATGAATATGTTATGTATCTTTATGTAAGTCTTTTATAATGTTTAAAATAAAATTTTATAATTTTCTACATAAAGAATCTACATATCACTTGTTGCATTTATTCCTAAGTATCTTATATTTTTGTTTCTATTTTAAATGGAGATGTTTTAAACTTGCATTTATGTTTCTTGCTGGAATATAAAAATGCATTGATTTTTTATTTTTTCTTGTGTCCAGGAACATAATTAATTAATGTCTTATCTTAATATTAATACATTTATCTATCTATGCATCTGTTTATTTGGAATTTTCTATGTACATAGCCTTATGATTGCCGATAATGATATACTTCCTTTCTCTTCTCCAATCCTCATACTTTTATTTCCTTCTTGTCTTACTACACCTGTCAGTGCTCTATTGAAAAGAAAAGGAGGGTGTTGGTATCTTCGTTTTTTTCCTACATGTTAAAGAGAATGCATCAGCGTTTCACTGCTAAGAATATATCTATTTAAAGTTTTTTGCAGATTTTCTTTTTAATCGGGATATGGACATTTTCTTTTATTCATGGTTTGTTAAGGATTTTAACTTTATGAAAACAGAGTGTTAAACTGTTGTGCATATATTTTCTGCAACTATTGAGATAATCATATATGGATTTACTTTGTTGATGTGATCATATGGTAATTGCATTAATAGTTTCTAAAAATTATATTCCCAGATGATCTGAAATTGATCATAATGTATTATATTTTTATATTAATTGCTGAATTTAATATGCATATGTATATTTTATTTTTAGGAACTTGCAGTTAATTACATGAGTGAGATTTTCCTATTTTCTTTCTTGTTTTGCCCTTTGTCTAGTTTTGATATCAAGATTCTACTACCCTCATAAAAAGAGCTGAAGAGTAATATTTTTGTGTTCCTTAAAAATGTGTAAAGATACAAAATGATCTTCCTTATGCTTATCTGTCCTTGGAATTTTTGTTAGAACCTGTCTCTAAACCCATGGAGGCATGATGGCTTTATTTGTGGAAAAATATTCTATTTACTTGATTGAATTTGGTTGATGTTTAAGAAACAATTTAGATTTTAAATTTCTTATTAGATAACATTTGTAATTTGTATGTTTTTTTAGAATGCCTTCATTTCCTAAGTTTTAAATTGTTTTGACACACAGATTTCATAATAGATTATTACCTATTAAAAATCTCTTTTGTATTTGTAACTTTAATTTAATTTTAATATTGGTTATTTGAGTGTCTCTACTCTTATTTCATGAACAGTTTTCCTAGAGGTTTATCAATTTTGTTTTTCCAAAGAACTTTAGTTTTCAGTGTGTCTTTTGAAAACAAAATATTGTTGGATTTTTAAAAAATCCAGTTTGGCCTGGTCATAGTGGCTCATAACTATAATCTCAGCATGTTGGGAGCCTGAGGCAGGAGGATCACTTGAACCCAGGAGCTTGAGACCAGTCTGGGCAACATAGTGAGACCCTGTCTCTACAAAGCACTTAAAAAATTAGCTGAGTGTGGTGGTGCACTCCTGCAGTCCTAGCTACTTTGGAGGCTGAGGCAGGGGGATCACTTGAACCCAGGAGGTCAAGGTTTCAGTGAGTTGTGATCCTACCACTGCATTCTTCCAGCCTATGTGACAGAGAGAGACCCTGTTTCTAAACAACAAACAAATAATAAAACATCCAGTTTGATGAGTTTAACCTCTTACATAAACATTGAGTGCATATTTCATATATGTAAATTTATTTCCAGCGTATTATTTTGGTATCTCTATTTGTCCGGTTTTTCTATCTCTCTAGGATTTTTTAGATTTATTTTTCTCAGATTAAATTATTTTTTCTTCACTAATTAGGGATTGATAATCTCTCTATATTTTTTAAGTGGTCGCTGTATTAGTTTCCTATTTTTGCTGTAACAAATTTACCACAAACTTAGTGACTTAAAACAACAGAAATGTATTGTTTTATGGTACTGGAGGTCTGAAGTCTGAAAGAAACTGGGCTAAAATCAAAGTGTCAGCAGGGCTGTGTTCCTTTTTGGAGGCGCTGGGAGATAATCTGTTTTCTGGCCTTGTCTGGCTTCTGAAGGCAGCTGGCATTCCTTGACTCATGATCCACTTCTATCTTTCAGGACAGCAATGGTCCACAGAGCTTTCCCCACATTGCATCATGCTGACACCAACCCTTCTGTGTAGCTCTTCTACAGTTAAGGATGATAGTGATTACTTTATGCTCACCTGTATAATCTAGGATAATCAATTTATATTAAGGTTAGCAGATTGGCCATCTTAAATTCATTTGCTACCTCAATTTCCTTTTGCCATGTAATGTAGCATTTATAGGTTCCTGGGATTAGGATATGGACATCTTTGGTAGGCCCTTATTCTGCCTACCACAATCACTCTAGAAATTTTGGCATGTGTATTTGACTCAACAAATCTAATGCTAATCTTTATCTTTCTCCCAAACAAGACAAGGTACTTAAAACTTGTAAATTTTTACCCATACCCTTTTTACAGGCAATTCAAGATTTTAGTTCTATTTTGATTTTTTCCAATCCAAAATAGAGGTTATTGGTATTATTTTCTAGACAAAACAATCATTTAGATATACCTATAACATGTAGTGTTAATTGTACACAATTCCTTCTTGCATCTGTCTTCTGGAATTATATCATTATTCCTTTTTTTCCTTGATGTATTTCATTAGTGAGAGTCTCTTGTTAGTGACCTCTTTCAACTTTTATTTGTAGGTAAACATTTTTATTCTACCTTAATTTAAAAATAATATTGCTGAGTATATACATCTAGATTGAAAGTTGTGTTCTCACAGCAATACTGCCTTCCATATTTTTGCTGTTGAAAAGTTGAATGTCAGTCAAATTGTCCTTCTCCTAAAAGTAAACTATATATTTTTTTGTTTGCATGCTTTGTCTCTTTGAGTTCTACAGCTTCATTAAGGAGCATCCTAATTTGATTTGATACTGATTTCTGGTTCTTTATTCTGTTTGAGGTTTATTTTCTAGAATTTAAAAATTGTTGTCTTTCATCTACTCAGAAAATTCTTTGCTATTATATCTCTAAATATTGCCTATTTGGTTTTTTTGGTGTGTGTGTGTTGAGGGGGCAGGTTCTCTCCTAGTTCTCTAACCAGATATATTGGGTTTTGTTATTCTATGTCTTCTGTATCTTTATCTAAATTTTATACTATTTTTATACTATATATATATTATATACTCAGCATTTTAATGGGCCACTGTTCTCCTGATGCATTTTGGATAATGACTTCAATTCTGTTTTTCAGGTGACGTGGAAAATAACTGATGATTTGAATAAGTTCAGCCTTTGGGGTTGATTTTGTAGTTTGTTTACATTTTTTATGCTGGCTTTATTTGTGTATGAATTGTTTCTATATTTGTTTAATGGTTTCTCCTTGTTAGTTCATGTTTCTTGAAAATTTATGTTTGATAAAGGATGTCTGTGTTTGTTTTTGCTGGTTACTTGAAGGCCCAATCAACCCAAGAGCTTTGTGGCTAAAGTTTTTCAGGCCACATAAATAGTGTGAATAGTAGCCCCAAACCCATGTTGTTTAGGGTTCTAGCTTATGAATTCTCTCAACTGCCTTTTTTTTGTCTGTCTGTTCCACACATTCATAGCCAAGATCTACATAGCAAACCTTCTGTAGGGAGAAGTTCTTATGTTCATAGTTCACTCACTGAGAGTGTTGTCCTTTGGTGGGCTCAGGTTTATTAGGGTCTCCCTAATATTGGCACTCCAGGCCTTGTCTGCTTTTACTTGACTTAATGTGACCCATTAAAATGCTGAATCTGTTATATATGTATGAATTGAAAACAGGTATTTGAACAGATATTTGTACATAAATATTCATGGGAGCATTATTCACAGCAGTCAAAATGTGGAAACAATCTAAGTATCCATTGATGCATGAATGGATAAACAAAACAAAATGTGGTGCATGCATACAATGGAATACTATTAAGCCTTAAAAAAGAATGAGATTCTGATACATGCTGCAACATGGATAAGCCTTAAAAACATTATGTTAAGTAAAATAAACCAACCACAAAATGATAAATATTATTATTTCATATATATGAAATATTCAAAATAAGCACATTCTTAGAGACAGAAAGTAAATTAGAGGCTATCAGGAGCCAGAGAAGAGAAAAATGGATTAGACCATGATTTAATGGGTATAGAGTTTCTGTTTGGGGTGATGGAAAAGTTATAGAAATAGATAGAAGTGATAGTTGCATAACAGTGTGAATGCAATTAATGCCACTGAATTGTACGCTGAAAATTGTATTTCTAATGTTATATTTATTTCAATTGCACTTAAAAGAAATTCCAAATAAAGCCAAATCTCATCCCCCACATATTAGCAGATGCCCTCAGAGCATTCTCTGACTGTAGTGTTCACTCAGCCACAGCTCTCCACATCCATGGTTTCTGATTTTTGCCCTTTGTTTACCTGTGCCTCAACCATGTTTTAAAACTATGTTAAAATATATCTATCTTATTCAGTCTTGAGGTACTCAGTTGAAATATTTTTAGAAACAGTTTTCCCCTGGAGAAATTTGTGAATCAGAAAGCACATATGTGATAGTTGAGAGCAAGGATAAAAGATATCTATTGTTTGCACCAGGAGCACACATCCCAATAATGATGGGTGGGTTTGCCCAGCCGCATCATTCAATCTTGCCCCGCAGTCCAGATGACCCCAACACTTGTGCCAAGTCAGAGGATTCAGAACATGATGGCTACAATTGAAACTCACTCATCTCCAGTTGCCTGCTCATTTTTCTGGCCATTCAGGGGGAGATTCAAAATCTGCTGTTTTGTTCCTCTCTTTTGCTCTGTAATTATATTTGCTTTCACAAAAGGCTGTATGAAGGCCAAGTCAGAGATTTGTGTGGTGCAAGATGTCTCAGACGGCTTTCTATCCATAAATGGAAGATGAGGATTAATTCCTTTATTTCTCAAGTAAATCAGTGTGGATCCATTGGCATGCTGCTAGCAAAAGTTCCTTGATCAAATACATTTTTCACAATGTACAGACTGCCAACTGTTGTTACAGCACTCTGAAAAGAACATTTTCTTGACTTTAGTGTCAGTTATGTTGACTTTGAATTTAGAGGGGAAAAAAAGCCATTAACCTCTAGAAATTATAGAAAAATGGTGTAGCTGTATGGTGTGGCAAAGTAATGGATAAACAATTATATGCAAATGAATGCAGATACTAGAGGTCTCAGAGGGTAGACTCTCTAACTTCTCAAATGATTCTCTTGCCATAATCTTGTTAATAGTGGAGCATATGTTGAGTCTTTGTTGGCCTTTTAACACTTTTGTGAGGGTGTACTAGGATTAACAAGTCAGCCCAAACTATCGCTTTTTCAACTGTATTCCTAGGAATAACCAGTTATGTGAGAGCTCAAGCTATTTTAAACAGCCTGATTACATGCATTGATTGATGATTGGATTCAGAATAATTTTCTTTCCTTGGCTGAGAAAAAGTGCCGCTATTGACCCTGTTTGTTCAATCAAAATGGTAATGCAACATAAAGCATGCCTGCTTGTGGCAGCAGCAAGCCAGGGGGAGGCTAAGTTATGCAGGGCCTGCCTCCAAGCTGTGTTTATGAATACAATTGATTGACATTGCCTATGGCCCCTCCTCAACACACATGCATCCACATGAGCTCCTCTTATTACAGATAAACAAGGCATTGGGATTGCAGAAATGGCTTTACTCCATATTTCACTGGAAAGATAATCACTACTCTTCCTTATTTGTGGTGAATGTGCTATCATGTGTAAAAGGGAAAATGATTAAATGTAATGTATTAGCAGAAGCACTGAGAGTCTATACTTGCTAAAGAAAGTTGATTATTCAAATATCTGCCAGGAGTGTTGTGTTCTTCAGATCGCTTAAAGTGCCCCTCTAATGACAAAATGTGTCATTGTACTCCATTTCTTTCATGTTTGACTTGCTGCTCCGGAATTGCCTCCTTGGCCTCCCACTTCATGAGCACTTCAGCCCCTCGTGAACTCTGTCTTAATAAACACTCCCAAAGGTGCACAAAAATCTAGAAGGCATGTTGCCATCTGCTTCCACAACCTGATTTTTCAAAACAGCTTCACGTAGTATGTGGATGAAGTGATAGAGGAGACTTGCAATAGGGTTGAATGGAGATGGGGTCAGGGCAGGATTCAATAAGCATGAAAAAAGACCAGAAATTAAAGCAAAAACAGTGTGGGGAAGAAGTGTTACTTTTTCTGCTTGTGCAGAGGTTGCCCCTCTTCTGGGAAATGTACCCTCTTACTTCCGTGAAATTTTCTTCTTCCAGACCAACCATCCAGTGCTGGTGTGGGACTTCATGTTTTTGAGGGCCTCACACTGTTGGTCACAGTTGATTGGTTTGGGGATGGTGACCCACTCACGTTGTGATCATGCTTCTGATTTTGAGTGAAGTTTAGAGGGTGCACGTTTCAGTTACTTTCTTATTGGTTTAGAGGGTGCAGATATGAGGTGGAGAACCCGAAACATGTAAACCTTGAAGCTACCAGCATTCATGGTTTCAGTTGTATCAGGGAAGCCCATATGGAAGAAAGAATTTGTTATCTAGATACAAGGAGAGCTGGAGAAAAAGCCTGGGTGGTATTTGAGACCACACAATCATCTGGTCATCTCTGAGACCCAGTGGTATCCTCATCTTGCTAGAAGCTTGTCTATTTTGTGAAAACTAATTTGATTTGTATTTCTAATACTACCAGCCAAAAAGTTCTGATTATTAGCACAAAATAATTTCCTCTGGAAAATGCACTGTTAAATCAGTTCTAAGGATTTCCCATATTCTAAAGTTTGGATAATTTTTCTTGATGCAAAAAAATCCTTTTTGATTGCTGGAATTTACAAAAATTGGATAGCAGAATCAGAAGTGACTGTTACTTCCTTATACATTTCCCATTAATGCATTTCTCACATATATAATAATAATTTTTTTATATATATTTTTATTATACTTTATGTTCTAGGGTGTATGTGCACAACGTGCAGGTTTGTTACATATGTATACATGTGCCATGTTGGTGTGCTGCACCCATTAACTCGTCGTTTACATTAGGTAAATCTCTTAATGCTATCCCTCCCCCCTCCCCCCACCCCACAACAGGCCCCAGTGTGTGATGTTCCCCTTCCTGTGTCGAAGTGTTCTCATTGTTCAATTCCTACCTGTGAGTGAGAACATGCGGTGTTTGGTTTTTTGTCCTTGTGATAGTTTGCTGAGAATGATGGTTTCCAGCTTCATCCATGTCCCTGCAAAGGACATGAACTCATCCTTTTTTATGGCTGCATAGTATTCCATGGTGTATATGTGCCACATTTTCTTAATCCAGTCTATCATTGTTGGACATTTGGGTTTATTCCAAGCCTTTGCTATTGTGAGTAGTGCTGCAATAAACATACGTGTGCATGTGTCTTTATAGCAGCATGATTTACAATCCTTTGGGTATATACCTAGTAATGGGATGGCTGGGTCAAATGGTATTTCTAGTTCTAGATCCCTGAGGAATCGCCACACTGACTTCCACAATGGTTGAACTAGTTTACAGTCCCACCAACAGTGTAAAAGTGTTCCTATTTCTCCACATCCTCTCCGGCCCCTGTTGTTTCCTGACTTTTTAATGATCGCCATTCTAACTGGTGTGACATGGTATCTCATAGTGGTCTTGATTTGCATTTCTCTAATGGCCAGTGATGATGAGCATTTTTTCATGTGTCTGTTGGCTGCATAAGTGTCTTCTTTTGAGAAGTGTCTGTTCATATCCTTCACCCACTTGTTGGTGGGGTTGTTTGTTTTTTTCTTGTAAATTTGTTTGAGTTCTTTGTAGATTCTGGATATTAGCCCTTTGTCAGATGAGTAGATTGCAAAAATTTTCTCCCATTCTGTAGGTTGCCTGTTCACTCTGATGGTAGTTTCTTTTGCTGTGCAGAAGCTCTTTAGTTAAATTAGATCCCATTTGTCAATTTTGGCTTTTGTTGCCATTGCTTTTGGTGTTTTAGACATGAAGTCTTGCCCATACCTATGTCCTGAATGGTATTGCCTCAGTTTTCTTCTAGGGTTTTTATGGTTTTAGGTCTAACATGTAAGTCTTTAATCCATCTTGAATTGATTTTTGTATAAGGTGTAAGGAAGGGATCCAGTTTCAGCTTTCTACATATGGCTAGCCAGTTTTCCCAGCACCATTTGTTAAATAGGGAATCCTTTCCCCATTTCTTGTTTTTGTCAGGTTTGTCAAAGATCAGATAGTTGTAGATTGTGGTATTATTTCTGAGGGCTCTGTTCTGTTCCATTGGTCTGTATCTCTATTTTGGTAGCAGTACCATGCTGTTTTGGTTACTGTAGCCTTGTAGTATAGTTTGAAGTCAGGTAGTGTGAGGCCTCCCGCTTTGTTCTTTTGGCTTAGGATTGACTTGGCAATGTGGGCTCTTTTTTGGTTCCATATGAACTTTAAAGTAGTTTTTTCCAATTCTGTGAAGAAAGTCATTGGTAGCTTGATGGGGATGGCATTGAATCTATAAATTACCTTGGGCAGTATGGCCATTTTCATGATATTGATTCTTCCTACCCATGAGCATGGAATGTTCTTCCATTTGTTTGTATCCTCTTTTATTTCCTTGAGCAGTGGTTTGTAGTTCTCCTTGAAGAGGTCTTTCACATCCCTTGTAAGTTGGATTCCTAGGTATTTTATTCTCTTTGAAGCAATTGTGAATGGGAGTTCACTTGTGATTTGGCTCTCTGTTTGTCTGTTATTGGTGTATAAGAATGCTTGTGATTTTTGCCATTGATTTTGTATCCTGAGACTTTGCTGAAGTTGCTTATCAGCTTAAGGAGATTTTGGGCTGGGATGATGGGGTTTTCTAGATATACAATCATGTCATCTGCAAACAGGGACATTTTGAATTCCTTTTTTCCTTATTGAACACCCTTTATTTCTTTCTCCTGCCTGATTGCCCTGGCCAGAACTTCCAACACTATGTTAAATAGGAGTGGTGAGAGAGGGCATCCCTGTCTTGTGCCAGTTTTCAAAGGGAATGCTTCCAGTTTTTGCCCATTCAGTATGATATTGGCTGTGGGTTTGTCATAAATAGCTCTTATTATTTTGAGATATGTCCCATCAATACCTAATTTATTGAGAATTTTTAGCATGAAGTGCTGTTGAATTTTGTCAAAGGCCTTTTCTACATCTATTGAGATAATCATGTGGTTTTTGTCTTTGGTTCTGTTTATATGCTGGATTACGTTTATTGATTTGCATACGTTGAACCAGCCTTGTGTCCCAGGGATGAAGCCCACTTGATCATGGTGGATAAGCTTTTTGATGTGCTGCTGGATTCGGTTTGCCAGTATTTTATTGAGGATTTTTGCATCGATGTTCATCAGGGATATTGGTCTAAAATTCTTTTTTTTTGTTGTGTCTCTGCCAGGCTTTGGTATCAGGATGATGCTGGCCTCATAAAATGAGTTAGGGAGGATTCCCTCTTTTTCTATTGATTGGAATAGTTTCAGAAGGAATGGTACCAGTTCCTCCTTGTACCTCTGGTAGAATTCGGCTGTGAAGCCATCTGGTCCTGGACTTTTTTGGTTGGTAAGCTATTAATTATTGCCTCAATTTCAGAGCCTGTTATTGGTCTATTCAGAGATTCAACTTCTTCCTGGTTTAGTCTTGGGAGGGTGTATGTGTCAAGGAATTTATCCATTTCTTCTAGATTTTCTAGTTTATTTTCATAGAGGTGTTTATAGTATTCTCTGATGGTAGTTTGTATTTCTGTGGGATTGGTGGTGATATCCTCTTTATCATTTTTTATTGCATCTATTTGATTCTTCTCTTTTCTTTATTAGTCTTGCTAGTGGTCTATCAATTTTGTTGATCTTTTCAAAAAACCAGCTCCTGGATTCATTGATTTTTTGGAGGGTTTTTTGTGTCTCTATCTGCTTCATTTCTGCTCTGATCTTAGTTATTTCTTGCCTTCTGCTAGGTTTTGAATGTGTTTGCTCTTGCTTCTCTAGTTCTTTTAATTGTGATGTTAGGGTGTCAATTTTAGATCTTTCCTGCTTTCTCTTGTGGGCATTTAGTGCTATAAATTTCCCTCTACACACTGTCTTAAATGTGTCCCAGAGATTCTGGTATGTTGTGTCTTTGTTCGCATTGGTTTCAAAGAACATCTTTATTTCTGCCTTCATTTCCTTATGTACTCAGTAGTCATTCAGACGAAGGTTGTTCAGTTTCCATGTAGTTGAGCGGTTTTGCGTCTGTTTCTTAATCCTGAGTTCTAGTTTGATTTTTGTTATAATTTCTCCTCTTTTACATTTGCTGAGGAGTGCTTTACTTCCAACTATGTGGTCAATTTTGGAATAAGTGCGATGTGGTGCTGAGAAGAATGTATATTCTGTTGATTTGGGGTGGAAAGTTCTGTAGATGTCTATTAGGTCCACTTGGTGCAGAACTGAGTTCAGTTCCTGGATATCCTTGTTAACTTTCTGTCTCGTGGGTCTGTCTAATGTTGACAGAGGGGTGTTAAAGTCTCCCATTATTATTGTGTGGGAGTCTAAGTCTCTTTGTGAGTCTCTAAGGGCTTGCTTTATGAATCTGGGTGCTCCTGTATTGGGTGCATATATATGTAGGATAATTAGCTCTTCTTGTTGAATTGCTCCCTTTACCATTATGTAATGGCCTTCTTTGTCTCTTTTGATCTTTGTTGGTTTAAAGTCTGTTTTATGAGAGACTAGGATTGCAACCCCTGCCTTTTTTTGTTTTCCATTTGCTTGGTAGATCTTCCTCCATCTCTTTATTTTGAGCCTATGTGTGTCTCTGCACATGAGATGGGTTTCCTGAATACGACACACTGATGGGTCTTGACTCTTTATCCAATTTGCCCGTCTGTGTCTTTTAATTGGAGCATTTAGCCCATTTACATTTAAGGTTAATATTGTTATGTGTGAATTTGATCATGTCATTATGATATTAGCTGGTTATTGTGCTCGTTAGTTGATGCAGTTTCTTCCTAGCATTGATGGTCTTTACAATTTGGCATGTTTTTGCAGTGGCTGGCACCGGTTGTTCCTTTCCATGTTTAGTGCTTCCTTCAGGAGCTCTTTTAGGGCAGGCCTGGTGGTGACAAAATCTCTCAGCGTTTGTTTGTCTGTGAAGGATTCTATTTCTTCTTCACTTATGAAGCTTAGTTTGGCTGGATATGAAAATCTGGGTTGAAAATTCTTTTCTTTAAGAATGTTGAATATTGGCCCCCACTCGCTTCTGGCTTGTAGAGTTTCTGCCAAGAGATCAGCTGTCAGTCTGATCGGCTTCCCTTTGTGGGTAACCCAGCCTTTCCCTCTGGCTGCCCTTAACATTTTTTTCCTTCATTTCAACTTTAGTGAACCTGACAATTATGTGTCTTTGAGTTGCACTTCTCGAGGAGTATCTTTATGGCATTCTCTGTATTTCCTGAATTTGAATGTTGGCCTGCCTTGCTGGGTTGGGGAACTTCTCCTGGATAATATCCTGCAGAGTGTTTCCCAACTTGGTTCCATTCTCCCGTCACTTTTAGATACACCAATCAGACATAGATTTGGTCTTTTCATACAGCCCCATATTTCTTGGAGGCTTTGTTCATTTCTTTTTATTCTTTTATCTCTAAAGTTCTCTTCTCGCTTGATTTCATTCATTTGATCTTCCATCACTGATA
Source organism: Homo sapiens (assembly GCF_000001405.40). Lineage (NCBI taxonomy): Eukaryota > Metazoa > Chordata > Mammalia > Primates > Hominidae > Homo > Homo sapiens. The sequence goes on from NC_000002.12 coordinate 21,525,737, forward strand.
CCCTTTCTTCCAGCTGATTGAATCGGCTAATGAAGCTTGTGCGTTTGTCATGTAGTTCTCGTGCCATGGTTTTCAGCTCCATCAGGTCATTTAAGGCCTTCTCTACATTGGTTATTCTAGTTATCCATTTGTCTAATCTTTTTTCAAGGTTTTTAACTTCTTTGAGATGGGTTCGAACTTCCTCCTTTAGCTCAGAGAAGTTTGGTCATCTGAAGCCTTCTTCTCTCAACTCATCAAAGTCATTCTCCATCCAGCTTTGTTCCATTGCTGGTGAGGAGCTGCCTTCCTTTGGAGGAGGAGAAGTGCTCTGATTTTTAGGATTTTCAGTTTTTCTGCTCTGTTTTTTTCCACATCTTTGTTGTTTTATCTACCTTTGGTCTTTGATGATGGTGACGTACAGATGGGGTTTTGGTGTGGATGTCCTTTCTGTTCATTGGTTTTCCTTCTAACAGTCAGGACCCTCAGCTGCAGGTCTGTTGGAGTTTGCTGGAGGTCCACTCCAGGCCCTGTTTGCCTGGGTATCAGCAGCGGAGGCTGCAGAACATATTGCTGAACAGCAAATGTTGCTGTCTGATCATTCCTCTGGAAGTTTCGTCTCAGAGGGGTACCCAGCTGTGTGTGGTGTCAGTCTGCCCCTACTTGGGGTTGCCTCCCAGTTAGGCTACTTGGGGGTCAGGGACCCACTTGAGGAGGCAGTCTGTCCATTCTCAGATCTCAAACTCCGTGCTGGGAGAACCAGTACTCTCTTCAAAACTGTCAGACAGGGACATTTAAGTCTGCAGAGGTAGGTTTTTGCTGCCTTTTGTTCGGCTATGCCCTGCCCCCAGAGGTGGAGTCTACAGAGGCAGGCAGGCCTCCTTGAGCTGTGGTGGGATCCACCCAGTTCGAGCTTCCTGGCCTCTTTTTTTACCTATCAAGCCTCAGCAATGGTGGGTGCCCCTCCCCCAGCTTTGCTGCCACCTTGCAGTTTGATCTCAAACTGCTGTGCTAGCAGTGAGCGAGGCTCCGTGGGCGTGGGACCCTCTGAACCATGCACAGGATATAATCTCCTGGTGTGCCATTTGGTAAGACCATTGGAAAAGCACAGTATTTGGGTGGGAGTGACCCGATTTTCCAGGTGCCTTTTGTCACAGTGTTGCTTGGCTAGGAAAGGGAATTCCCTGACCCCTTGTGCTTCCTATGTGAGGCAATGCCTCACCCTGCTTCGGCTCATGCTTGGTGCGCTGCACCCGCTGTCCGACAAGCCCCAGTGAGATGAACCCGGTACCTCAGTTGGAAGTGCAGAAATCACCCGTCTTCTGCGTCTCTCACACTGGGAGCTGTAGACTGGAGCTGTTCTATTTGGCCATCTTGGAACTGCCTAGAACTATATAATTATTTGTTAACATCCATAGACCCTAAACATCTATGAGCTTCTTAAAGGAAGGACTTATTTTTGACTCTACAGCTTCACATCCTGGAACAATTTTGGACAAAATTAAGCTTCCAAAAAACATTTGTTCAGTTGGGTTTAATTGTGCACCTCAGGATGCCTCCCTCCTAAGGATTTTGTCTCTCCTCAGGGTTTTGCAGTGCCCTGACTGAAGTGTCAGGCATTTCTCTCTCTCCCCTTCCTAGGATCTTTCACTTCTCCTGTGCCCACTGTATTTCCTAGCAATAGTTCTGTTTCCCATCCTGGGAACTCTGAATCTCAGGGAATCCAGGAACACCAGACAGCTTCGTGGCTTTGGGAGGATCAGCTCTTTGACATTCTGTTGTGTCTCTTTTCAGAAACAAAGCTCCAAATTTGGAAGCAGCAGTGAAACTCCACAGGTAAGAAATAGTGTCAATCATGGCCCATTCCATTTACCTGGTTGGACACTTGGATGGTTTATCTCAGCAGGTTTCTCATCAGAGAACATCTGTTACTTTTTCCAAATCCCTGTAATGAAGCCAGCATTTAGTTTCAACTCTCTGGAAAAAGGCACAATTATTTTAACCACAAGCCTGTATCTCCTCAACTTCCCATTTATTTTAGAAATGTAGGTGGGAGGAAATTTTTTTTTTTTTTTTTTGAGACAGAGTTTCACTCTTGTTGCCCAGGCTGGGGTGCAATGGCACGATCTCGGCTCGCTGCAACTTCCGCCTCCCAAGTTCAGGTGATTCTCCTGCCTCAGCCTCCGAGTAGCTGGTATTAAAGGCATGTGCCACCACACCCAGCTAATTTTTTGTATTTTTAGTAGAGACGGGGTTTCACCATGTTGGCCAGGCTGATCTCAAACTCCTGACCTCAGGTGATCCCCCACTCTCAGCCTCTCGAAGTGCTGGGATTAGAGGCCCGAGCCACCACGCCCTGCAGGAGGAAACATTTTTTAAGTGCCTGCTCTAGAGTTCACATGTGTTTCTTTCATTTAATGCCTCTTTTACAGGTAGGAGAACTGGAAGTCAGAGAGATCAAGCATTTCTCCCAAGGTCCATATAGTACAGATAGGAGAACTGGCACCCAGAGAGGTCAAGCATTTCACCCAAAGTCCATATAGTACAGATAGGAGAACTGGCACCCAGAGAGATCAAGCATTTCACCTAAGGTCCATATAGTACTTAGTAGAGCGGACATGTTAAAGAGGCTGAACTTTGTCACATTTGAATCCTCAGAATTCCCACAGTCCTCATCATCCATTAGGTTCTCAGTGAACGATGATCAACTGAGCTAACCTAGCTTCAAAACCTAACTGTCATCAATTACCCAATATTCTTTTAGGGAGAGATGAAATGTCATTTAGATATTTTGGGACATTTACAAAACTCTTATTTGTATTGTTTCCAATAATATTGATTGGATTTGCACGTAATAATTTGTTGTTTTTTAATATTGGACTTAAGTTCCAGTATTGTCCAAATTTTTTAAAAAGTTGGTTTCATTGCTTCTGTGTAAGACCATAGCTGTTTACCTCAGTCTGAATCCACCAAAATGGGTTAGGGTGACAGTTGAGGAACTGTGTCTTATTTATGTTTTGTATGTATGCAAATCAATGATGTTTACTGAATTTATGGAATTGTGCAACTGTCACCATAATCCAGTTATAGAATTTTTATCAGTCTCAGAAACTTCTCTTGAGCTCATTTGTAGTCAGTCTCCACTGTAACTTCACCCACCTCCACTGCCAGAGACATCTTCTTATCTGCTTTCTATCTCTGCTTTTTTTTTTTCCTGGACATTTTATATAAATATAATCATACAGTATGTAGTCTTCTGTGTCTGGCTTCTTTCACTTAGTGTATTGTTTTTGAGGTTCATATATATTGTAGTTTGTATCAATGTTTCATTCCTTTATAATGCTGAATAATTCATTGTATGGATATAGAACACATTTGGTCATATTATCCATTTATCATCTGCTATTTGGATTGTTTAGTTTTTGGCTATTAATAAATGTGCTTTATGATCATTCGTGTTAAAATCGTTGTGTGGACACATTTTCATTTCTCTTGGGCAGATTACTGAGGGCAAAATTGCTGGGTCATATGGTAAGTTTACATTTTACTTTTTAAGAAACTGTCAACCTGTTTTCCAAAGTGGCTACACCACTTTACATTTCTACCAGCAATGTGTGGTGGTTCTATTTTCTCCACAACCCTGCCAAAATTAAGTATGGTCAGACTTTTTGATTATAATCATTCTAGTGGGTTTGTAATGTACCTCGTGTGTTTAATGACATTTTCTCAGTGACATAACGTATGGTAGCTTTCCATGTGCTTATTATCCATTTGTGCCTTCTTTGGTGAAGCCATGTGTACATCGTTCTTGGAATACACAAGCTTTGCCAATTTTAAGAAAATTGGTCATTTGTCTTTTCAGTTTTGAATGATCATATGTATCATATAATACTATTTTATGGTATTATATGATGCTATTAAATTATATATTACATACTATGCTTTATAATATATATTGTGGAGGAAAGTCCTTTATCAGATATATATTTTCCAAATATTTTTCCTCAGGCTATGCGTTGTCTTTTCATTTTCTTGATGATGTCTTTTGAAGTGCAAATGTTTTTCATTTTAATGAAATACAGTTTATCATATTTTCTTTTATGGCTTAAGCTTCGGTATTGTATCTTTGCCTAACTCAAAGTCTTGAAATGTTATTCTTGTATTTTCTTTGAAGAGTTTTACAGTTTCGGCTTTTACATTTAGGCTGATAATTCATTTTGAGTTAATTTCTGTGTGCAATGTTAAGTAAGCATCTAAATGCACCTTTTTGCTTGTGGATATCTAATTATACAAGCACTATTCATTGGGAAGACAGTTAAATCGCCTTTGTCAAAAATAATTACTCATAAATATAAGGGTTTGTTTCTGGACTCTTAATTTAGTTTCTTATGCCAATACCACATGTATATTCTATACTGTCATTTTATAGTAAGTTTTGAAATCTGGTAATATAAGTCCTCCAAATTTGTTCTTTTTTTGAAGAATTATTGGGCTATCTGAAACCTTTGCACGTTCATAAAATGTTGCTATTTTCTAAAAAAAAATTCTGCTGGGGTTTTAACAAGGATTGCATTCAATCTAGACATCTATTTGGGGGAAACTGCATCTTAACACTATCGAGCCTTTTAATCCATGAACATGGAATGTCTGTTTGTTTAAATTTAATTTATTTTGGAAGTAATATATGGTATTTAGTGTGGAAATCATATACATCTTGTGTTAATTTTTTCCTAACTATATGATTCTTTTTGTGATATTCTGAGTAGAATTTTATTTTTTTATTTCCTGATTGCTCATTGCTACTATGTGGAATATATATAGATTTTGTGTGTATTGATCTTGTATCTGCTAAATTTATTTGCTTATTCTGTAGATAGTGTCTCTCTGTGTGTGTATGTGTGTGTGTGTGTATGCTTATTCTGCAAGATTCTCTACCTGTAAAATTATGTTACCTGTGAATAAACACAATTTTATTTCTTTAGATCTGAATCTCTTTAATTAAGCTCTCTATCCCTTCGCCTTCTCCTTCTCCTTCTCCTTCTCTTTTCCCTTTCTTCTCCATCTCTTCCTCTGCTTGCTTTTATTTTCTCCTTTTCCTCCTTCTCTCTCTTTTCTGTCTCTTCTCTTCATCCTCTTTTTCTTCTCTTGCTTTTTGCTCATTTCTTTTCTCTTCCTCCTTCTCCTTAATGACTTATTTAGTGTTTCTAGCAGCTTTTCATGTGCCTATTATCCATTTGTACTTTCTTTGGTGAAGTCATATGTACATCTTTCTTAGTATATACAAGCTTGTTATTCTTCTTTGCCTTAATGTACTGGTTAGAATTGTCAATGCAATGTTGACTAGAAGTGGAGAGAGCATACTAGAACATCCTTGCCTTGTTCCTAATCTTGGGGAAAGGATTCAGTTTTTCACCATTAAGTATGACGTTAGATGAAGGGTTTCTTTTTGTTGTTTGTTTGTTTGTTTGTTTTTTCTATTGTTAGGTTAAGGAAAATTTCAACTTTTTCTTGTCTATAGCGAGATTTTTGGGGGGTGGGGGTTTGGGATCTCACTCTGTCACCCAGGCTGGAGGGCAGTGGCATGATCATGGCTCGCTGCAGCCTCAAACTCCTGGTCTCAAGTGATCCCCTTGCCTTAGACTCCCAAAGTGCTGGGAGGACAGGCATGAGCCACTATGCCCAGCTTGTGAGATTTTATTATGAAAGGATGTTACATTTTTTCACAAGCTTATGCTTCATCCATGGGGATAGTCATGTAAATTTTTCCCTTTATTTTATTAATATGAATGGTCTATTATTGTAAGTGATTTCAAATGTTTAATAAACCTTGTATTCATGATATAAACTCCACTTGGTCATGTCGAATAATTTTTATTATATGTTTCTGAATTCAGTTTGCTAAGTTCTTTTTTTTTTTTGTTTAATATTTTTGAATCTCTGTGATGATCACAGGTCAGAAGTATTCTCTTCCTGATAATGCTTTTGTAAGGTTTTGGTGTCGAGATAATACTGCTCCTATACTATGACTAGTGAAGTATTTGTTTCTATTGTATTTCCTGGGATGACTGTGAAGGAATGGTCTTCTTTAAATGTTTGGGTGTAATTAACCAGTGAAACCCCTTGGGTATAAACTTTTCTCTGAAGGAGTATTTTTAATTGATAAATCAACTTCCTTACTTGTTACGTCTATTGAGATTATTATTTTTTCTTCTGGGTGATTTCCAGTAAAGTGTGCCTTTCTAGGAATTTGTCCATATACTCTAACTTGTCTAATTTGTTGGAATACAGTTAAGCTAATATTTCCTTATAAACTTTTTAGTTTTTATGGAGAAGGCTGTAATATCCTTTTTTCATTAGTGATTTTGATAATTTGTTACTTATTTTATTTTATTAGTCATTCTTACTGAGAGTTTGTAAAATTTTTATGTTTAAAAAGAATAAACGTTTGGTTTCATTGATTTTATCATTATATTTCTGTTTTCTGTTACATTTTTACTCTAATCTTTATTGTTTCTTTAGCTTTTCTTGCTTTATATGTAGTTTGCTCCCCTTTTTATAATTTGTTAAGGTGGAAACAGGTCATTTGACTTGTGATCCTTTTTTTCTTTTCTTTTCTAACTTGTACATTTAAAGCTACAGATTTCCCTGTACGACCTTAACTGCCTCCATAAATTTTGATATGTTGTGTATGTGTTCATAATTTCAATAGTATAAGCTACTCCTTAATTTCTACTTTGACTCATGGATTTTACAAAGTATATTATTTAAGGTCCAAATATTATGATTGTTTCAGATTTGCTTCTATCACGAATTTCCAATTTAATCTTGAGTGGTCAGAGAACATACTCTGTATACTTTTCAATCTTTTCAATTCATTGAGAATTGTTTTATGGCCCAGAAACTGGCCTATTCTCAATAATGTTCTATGTGTGTATGAAAAAAAGTTTATTCTGCAGATTTTGGTTGATGTGTTTGATTAATATTGGTTGAAACAGGCTGTTTGACAGAGTTATTTAAATTTTCTATGTCCCTGTTGATTTCCTTTCTAGTTTTTCTATTATTATTTGGGAGTGAAGCGTTGACATTTTCAACTATTCTTAATATTTGTCTATTTCTCCTTTGAATTCTGTAAGTTTTTCCTTTATGTATTTCAGGACTTTTTTGTGAGGTTTTATACATTCATATTTTTAAAATTTTCTAATGTATTAATGTTTCATCCTTATGAAATATCCCTCTTTAACTCTAGCAATATTTGTTTTAAAATGTATTTTGTGTAAAATTAATGTAATCAGTTCATCTCTTTCATGGTAATTATTTGTATAATATATGTTGTATTTTTTCCATTATTTTCTTTTCAACCAATTTATGTCTTTCAATCTAATGTGTTCCTCTTGTAGACAACATTTAGTGGGCTTGGCTTTTTCTCATATTTCTCTAAGGCTCTTTTCACTTTTTTTGGCCTTTTCTTTATATTATATAATTTTTATTGATCAATATTCAAGTTCACTAATTTCTTATGCCATGTAATGCCACTTTACATTTTATGTTATATAATGTCTATGTCGCTTGCTTTTTTACTCAGTTTAGCAATCTTTACCATTTGAATGAGGTTTGAACGGTAGACCATTCATGTTTAATGTAATTATTGTTGTGTTTGGTTTTAACACTACTTTGATACTTGTTTACCATTTGTCTTATTTTTGGTTTCCCTGTTTCTCCTCTATTGCTTTTTGTTTTGTTTTGTTTTGAGACGGAGTCTCGCTCTGTCGCCCAGGCTGGAGTGCAGTGGCGTGATCTCAGTTCACTGCAAGTTCCGCCTCTGGGGTTCACGCCATTCTCCTGCCTCAGCCTCCCGAGTGGCTGGGACTACAGGTGCCCGCTACCACGCCTGGCTAATGTTTTTTCTGTATTTTTAGTAGAGACGGGGCTTCACCATGTTAGTCAGGATGGTCTCGATTTCCTGACCTCGTGATCCACCAGTCTAGGCCTCCCAAAATGCTGGGATTACAGGTGTGAGCCACCGCACCCAGCCTCTCCTCTATTGCTTTTTAAAGCCAATATTTTGCATATGTCAATTCAAGTTTTCTGATGATTTCCTACTGTATAGTTTTAGTATTTTCTTTGCTGTTTCTTTCAGAATTACAATATGTATCTTAACATAAACCCAATTTACCCATAAACCCAATTTACTTCATTTACTTTATTGCAATAAAATATATTAATACAATTTTTTTCCAATATATCTTCTATTTGTCTCTCCCTTGGACTAATACTCTTATATAATGTTACATATATATTTTATACATATACAATCTATAAGTTTTTCTTTATTTATATTATTAAAATGTACATTCACAGAGCTTTTTATTTACCAAAGCCTTTACTATTCCCAGTGTTCTTCATTTCTACTTTGGGATTTTAGCTACACCCTCTGGTATCACTTCCTTTCAGCTTAGATTTATTTCAGTGATTTTGTTAAGTCATGTGTAACAGGAGTGAATTTTTCTTAGTTTTTGTTTTTCTTGGAATGTTTTCCTTTCACATTAATAGTAAAAGAAAGTTGCTGAATGTAGAATGCTGGCTTGACATTTTTTTCTTTTGGCATTTTGAATATGTAATTCCAATGCCTTTTGGTTCCTATTATTTTGGATGAGAAGTCAGCTATTTATCACATTGTGCTTCTTCTGTATGTGTTGAGTCATTTTTCTTTTGCTATTCCCAAGGTTTCTCTTTCTCTTTGTCTTTCAATCATTTGACCAAGGTATGTCAAGGTGTGACTCTATGTTTACTCTACTTAGATTTTGTGGAGCTTCTTAGTTTTTTAGTTAATAATTTTCATCAAATTTAAGATATTTTTGTCAAATTTTTTACTCTTCTCTATCTTTTTACTACTTCTGGAACTTGCAGTACATGTCTGTGTTTCATGTTTTCTCAGGTCTCCAAGAATTTGTTTACTTCATCTTTTTTCCCTCTTGATATGGTTTGGATTTGTGTCTCCGCACAAATCTCATGTCAAATTGGAGGAAGGACCTGGTGGGACATGTTGGGGGGGTCATGGGGGTGGATTTCTTCCTTGCTGTTCTTGTGATAGTGAGTGCATTTTCATGAGATCTGGTTGTTTGAAAATGTGTGGCATTTCTCCCTTCATGCTCTCTCTCTCCTGCTCTGCCATGGTAAGATGTGCTTGCTTCTCCTTCACCTTCTGCCATGATTGTAAGTATCCTGAGACCTCCTAGCCATGCTTCCTGTACAGCACATTGAGCCGTGAATCATTTAAACCACTTTCTTCATAAATTACCAAGTCTCAGGTAGTTCTTTATAGGAGTGTAAGAATGAACTAATACAGAAAATTGGTACCAGGAGTGGGGTACTGCTATACAGAAACCTGAAAATGTGGAAGCAACTTTGGAACTGTGTAATGGGCAGAGGTTGGAACAGTTTGGAGGGCTCAGAAGAAGACAGACAGAAAGATGAGGGAAAGTTTGGAATTTTGTATAGACTCATTGAATGATTTGACCAAAATGCTGATACTAATATGGACAATGAAGTCCAGGCTGAGGTGGTCTCAGACGGAGATGAGGAACTTATTGGGAACTAGAGTAAAGGACACTCTTGCTATGCTTTGGCAAAGACACTGGCAGCATTGTGTCCCTGGTCTAGGGGCCTGTAGAACTTTGAAGTTGAGAGGGATTATTTAGGGTATCTGGTGGGAAAAATTTCTAAGCAGCAAAGCATTCAAGATGTGGCCTGGTTGCTCCTAACAGCATACAGTTGTGTGTGTTCACAAAGAGATTGTCTAAATTTGGAATTTATTCTTAAAAGGAAAATAGAGTATAGATGTTTGAAAAATTTGCAGCTCAGCTGTGTGATAGAAAATAAAAACCCATTTTCTGGGGAGATATTCAAACCTGCTGCAGATATTTGCATAAGAGGAACCAAATGTTAATCACCAAGACAATGGGGAAAATATCTCTAGGATATGTCAGAGACCTCCTAGGCACAGAATGTTTCCCATCACAAGCCCAGAGGTCTAGGAGGGAAAAGTGTTTTCATGAGCAAGGCCCAGGGCCCAGCTGCTCTGGACATGGCACCTGGCAACCTGGCCACTCCAGCTCCAGCAGTGGCTAAAAGGAGCCCAGGAACAGCTCGGGCTGTGGCTTCAAAGAATGAAAGCCCCAAGCCTTGGTGGCTTCCACATGGTGTTGGGCCTGTGTGTGGGCAGAAGGGAAGAGTTTTGGAGTCTCTTCCTGGATTTCAGATGATGTATGAAAATGCCTGGATGTCCAGGCAGAAGTCTGCAGCAGAGGTGGAGCCCTCATGAGAACCTCTACCAGTGCAGAGGGAAAATGTGGGGTTGGAGCGCCCAAGCAGAATCCCCAGTTGGGTACTGCTAAATGGAGCTGTTAGAAGAGGTCCCCCCATCCTTCAGATCCCAGAATGGTAGATCTATTGACAGGTTGCATTGTACACCAGGAAAAGCCACCGGCATCCAACGCCAGCCCATGAAAGCAGCTGTGGGGGCTGTGCCCTGCACAGGAACGGAGCTGCCCAAGGCTTTGGGACCCCACCTCTTGCATCAGCATGCCCTGTATGCAAGACATGGAGACAAAGGAGATTATTTTGGAGCTTTAAGATTTAATGGCTGCCCTGCCAAAATAATCATCTTTGACTTAATGGGGCCTGTAGCAACTTTGTTTTGGCCAATTTCTCCCATTTGGAATAAGAATATTTACCCATACCTGTACCCCCATTGCATCTTGGAAGTAACTAACTTGTTTTTTGATTTTACAGGATCATAGGTGGAAGGGACTTGCCTTGTCTCAGATGGGACTTTGGACTATGGACTTTTGAATTAATGCTGAAATGAGTTAAGACTGGGGAACTGTGGAGCAGGAATAATTGTATTTAGTGATGTGAGAATGACATGAGATTTGGGAGGGGCCAGGGGTGGAATGATATGGTTTGGATTTGTGTCCTTGCCCCAGTCTCATGTTGAATTGGAGGAGAGGCCTGGTGGAAGGTTATTGGATCATGGGGGTGGATTTCCCCCTTGCTGTTATCTTGATATAGTGAGGGAGTTCTCATGAGATCTGGTTGTTTGAAAGTATGTAGTGCTCCCCCCTTCACTCTCTCTCTCTCTCTCTCGCTCTGCCATGGTAAGATGTGTTTGCTTCCCTTTCACCTTCTGCCATGACTGTACATTTCCTGAGGCCTCCCAGCTATGCTTCCTGTACAACCCATGGGACTCTGAATCAATTATACCTCTTTTCTTGATAAATTATCCATTCTCTGGTAGTTTTTTGTAGCAGTGTGAGAACAGACTAATATACCGCTCTGTGCTTCAGATTGGATAATTTTATTGATCTATATTCAACTTCACTAATAATTTCTTATGCCATATCAAATATAGTGTTAAGCCTTTCTAGTGAACTTTTCATTTTAGTTGTTAACATTTTTTTATCTCCTAAATTTTTATTTTTAAAATAATTTCTGTCTTTGGGCTGAGAGTGTGTGTTTGTTGATTTGTTGTCATACTTTTTTTTAATTCTTTAAACATGATTTTCTGTTGTTCTTCAAATAATGTATCATAGTTACTTTAAAATATTTGTGTGCAAAAATCCAACATCTGGAGACACTCAGAGAAAGTTTCTATTAACAGTTGTTTTTTTCTTTTTTTCATTTCTTGAATATTCATCATACTTTTTTTCTTTGCATATTGTATTAGTCTGTCCTCATGCTTCTATGAAGAAATACCTGAGACTGGATAATTTATTAAAAAATAGAGATTTAATTGACTCACAGTTCTGCAATGCTGGCAAGTCCTCAGGAAACTTACAATCATGGCAGAAGGCACCTCTTTATAGGGCAGCAGAATAGAAACTGAGTGCAAGCAGGGGAAATGAACAGGGTAGGCCTCAGGAAACTTAAAAACATGGCAGAAGGTGAAGGGAAAGCAGGAACATCTTACATGGCTGGAGCAGAAGGAAGGGAGAGTGGGGAGGTGCTACACACTTCTAAACAACCAGATCTTCTGAGAACTCTATCACAAGATATGCACCAAAGAGATAATGCTAACCCATTCATGAAGGAATCACCCCTCCATGATCCAATTACCATCCACTAGACCCCATCTCCAACATTGGGGATTACCATTGAGCATGAGATTTGGGTGGGGACACAGATTCAAACCATATCAAATGATATACCAAAAATTTGGAAAACCTAGAAGTAATGGATAAATTCCTGGACACATACAACCTACCAAGTTTGAACCATGAAGAAACAGAAAATCTTAATAAAATAATAACAAATAATAAGATTAAAGCCATAATGAAAAGTATTCCATCAAAGGGAAGCTCAGAACCTGATTGCTTCACTGCTGAATTCTACCAAATATTTAAAGAACTATACCGATTTTACTCAAATTCTTTATAAAGGTTAAAGAGTAGGGAATACTTCCGCACTCATTCTAGTTTAGGATTATCCTAATATCAAAACCAGACAAGGACACACACAAAAAGAAAACTATAGACCAATATCACTAGTGAATATACATGCAAAAACTCTCAATAAAATACTAGCAAACCAAACTCAAGAGCAAATTAAAAATATCATTCACCATCGTCAAGTGGGATTCATCCCAGAAATGCAAGGATGGTGCAACTTATGCAAATAAATGTGAAATATTAAATTAACAGAACCAAAAACAAAAACCCCGTGATCATTTCAACAGACACAGAAAAAACATTTGCTAAAAATTTAACATCTCTTTATGGTAAAAACTTTCATCAAAGTGGGTATAGAGGGAACACACTTCAAAAATAATAAAGGCCATATATGACAAAACCATAGCTAGCATTGCACTGAACAGGGAAAATCTAAAGGCATTTCCTCTAAGATCTGGAACAAAATGATGATGCCCATGTTCACTGCTTTTATTCAGTGTAGTAACAGAAGCCCTGGCCAGAGTAATTAGGCAAGAGAAAATACTACAGTCATCCAAATTAAAAAGAAAAAAAATCAAAATTAGCTTTGTTTGCAGATGACATAATGTTATAATTAGATAAACCAAAAGATTTCACCAAAAAATGTGACAATTGATAAAAAATTCAGTTAGGATACAAAATCAACAAACAAAAATCAATAGCATTTATATACACCAACAGCAAACAATCTGAAAAGTAAATCAAGAAGGCAATCTCATTTCAGTAGCTGCAAAGAATATGAAATACCTAGAAAGGCCAGGTGCGGTGGCTCACGCCTGTAATCCTAATAGTTTGGGAGGATGAGGCAGGCAGATCATTTGAGGTCAGGAGTTTGAGACCAGCCTGGCCAACATGGTGAAACCCTGTTTCTACTAAAAGTACAACAAATAGGCATGGGGGCATATGCCTATAATCCCAGCTACTTGGGAGACTGAGGCTGGAGGATCGCTTGAACCTGGAAGGTAGAAGTTGCAGTGAGCTGAGATCATGCTACTACACTCCAGCCTGAGTGACAGAGTGAGACTCCATCTCAAAAATGAAACAAACAAGCAAAAAACCTAGAGATCAATTTAACTAAAAAAGAAGTGGAAGATCTATACAAGGAAAACTATGAAATAGTGAGGGAAGAAACTGAAGAGGATATAAAGAAAGAAAGGAAGAAAGAAAGCTATTCCATACTCGTGGATTGGAAGAACTAATAATGTTAAAATGATAATACTACTCAAAACAATTTACAGATTCAATGTAACCCCTATCAAAATACTAATGACATTCTTCATGGACATTTCAGATGTTATATTGAATCACCTCTGGGCTGTGACACACCCCTCCCTCTGAGAGTTGCTGTTGTTATTTACTTATATACCAATAAACATTGAACTTTGCTTGGACCAAATCTGAGAAATATCTCTCCCCACAATGTGCAGCTCTTGATGCCTCTTATATATATATAGTTTTTTTTGTTTTAATTTTATGTTGGGATGCATAGAAATTGCCTGCATCTTCATAGGCAGAGATTTTAAGAGGTTGTGCCCAAATGCCTCCAAGTTTTCCATTTTTTTCTGATGGATATAAATGCAGGCTAGAGGCCACTTTCATACATTAGAATGCTTTTGACTCTTCCCTGCTTTAATTTTCTGATAGATCCTCTCACGTCTCCTGCAAGCATATACTCAGGTTTCATCAGCCAGGGATATGTCAGTGGCCTAGGCCTACTTTAGACTATCCTGTGCACGACAACATAGACCCAAGACAGCCTTGGTTCTTCCAGAATATGTGGAGAAATTATTAAGCCTCACATGGCCACCTTATCTTCTGGAAGTCCCTGCTAACATCCCCAGCTGTTTTGTGAATCCATGACTTGTCCTAAACAGAAGCACAATCTTAGAGTTTTAAAGCTCACTTTTTTGGTTTCCAGCAACATCACAACTTTAATCAACAATGCTCTAAATCATGTAAGCTCTCTCCCTCTTCCCAGCAGTGACAATGAGGCTGCTGGTTTTCATGGCCTGCTTCACCCCGGTTGAACTATCAAACTTGAGGCAGCAGGGATGGAAACAGTCCTGGGCAAGAACATCACAGACCCTCATTGTTGTTAAAGTTCAGTAGCTTGATAAATAAATACTTCTCAATTTTTGGCCAATTTCCAGAGTGCTAAAGTTGTTTCTTTTAATGTTTTGTACACCTTCATGGTTGCTGATTGGGAAGGAGATTTGTTAACCTGCATCCTGACTCTATCACGTTGGAATTTACTTATTTTTTGTTTTCTTAGTGGTACTGGCTCATAGTGAACTCCTAAATTTTATTGAATTAATAAATAATCTAAGGGAATAAGAAAGGGACTGCTGTCTCTTGTAGCTGAGGGATTCTCACATGTAAGTTGATGGTTTTGCTATGTTTTTGTAAGAGTATACAGGAGACATAATCTGGGGATAATTGTTCTTCAACTCAGAATGATTAACTAACAGGACTAATGGTCCCTAGAGATAAAGTGAAACAAGTGGTATATGCGTGCCAGTTTCTGACATTGTCTAGCACATCTATAGACCTTGTGTTGCTTAAGACAGACTCCAGTTATTATCCAACATAAGGGAATCGTGGTTAATGATTTAGGCAGCATTTCCATTTAGATTTCAGCTCCCAGTGCTACTTGTTGGGTGGAGAAGGATCACTAACTCAGGATATTTATTGCATCTACAAATCTCTTATTTCACATCAGGAACACAAACCCCAGCTGGATCACTTTGATATCCTTATAATGTCTCTGAATAAGAAAGTGTGCTGAAATAAATAATTGGTCTCATAAAAGGCCAAAAAGAATAAATAAAATGGTTGCATTTAGGTTTAGCTTACCCGCACTGACTGTTTAAATTTTATGGGACTCTTTCCACAATAAGAATGCTTAAGGTTTCCAAGAAGGCATGGGACATAAGCTGAGTTACCAGCTTTAGAAGCTGTCACCAGTATTGTCTACATAGTCATTTAACTAGAGTTATCCTTCTCACGTTTCCAGCATTAGAGAGAACATAAAAATCCAACCACTGTCAGTGGTTCATTTAAATAATCATATAGTATGGTTCTGCTTTCTTTCTTTGTTTTCCTTTCTTTTCTTTTTTGGGATGGAGTATTGCTCTGTTGCCTAGGCTGGAGTGTAGTGGTGCAGTCTCGCTGCAACCTCTACCTCCCGGGTTCAAGCAATTCTTGTGCCTTAGCCTCCTGCATAGCTGGGATTACAAGTGTGCACCACCACGCCTGGCTAACTTTTATAGTTTTAGGAGAGACTGGGTTTTGCCATGTTGGCGAGACTGTTCTCGAACTCCTGGCCTCAAGTGATCTGCCCACCTGGGTCTCCCAAGGTGCTTGGATTACAGGCATGAGCGACCACACCCCAACAGTATGGCTCTGCTTTCTTTCTGATATCTTCAAACCTCTGGTTTTAGTCTGGTCACAATTATCTACTTCCTCATTTAAGCCCATCCACATAGATACACACGTTTCTATTGACTGTGACGTTCATTTATTTTCCTAGGTTAAGTACATTTGGGTGAGATTTCTCCATATTCAAGTCTCAGCCATGCATAACCAACTGGTGGAAATAATTTACAAGAATCACCACCAGAGGACATGAAAAAATTGTCAGCTTTATACCCTTGAATGCCACTGGTATAGTAATAGTGTCTGTATTACTAGGCTACCTAAGAAAATATTGAACAAATAGTCATGTTGTGGCTGATCATCAGCCATTTAACTGAACTTCTCTATGATCAATCCAATCTGACAATGAAATTAAACGAAGTAAGGGTATCTGGCTTCATGATCGATTCAGTGTGACAATCAATGCAAATGGTGTAAGAGTATCTCATTGATCAGCTAAAATAACATGGACTAAGAAACGTCATAAACTAAAACAGGCATAGAAAATGCCTTGATATCCAATAGGGCAAGGAACTCTTGTTATTTCCTCATTTAGAAGGGTCCATCAGGATTTCAGTAACAATAAGAGATCTTTTGGTGTCGATTAAATGTAGATTTAAGAGCCAAAGGAAATAGATGTTGCTATTCACCCAGAAGTCACTCTAAATTCTTTACAGGGGATTGTATATGAAACACTCCCATCAAGTTCCCTTGCTCCTTGCCCTTTGGTTTCTGTATTATCTTTATCATAGTTCTCATCATCCCTATCACACATTTTTTATGTCAATGAACTTCTTTTCTAAATAATGAGCTCCATTAGGACAGGGACTCTGTTTTATTAGTCTTTGAATCTCTAGTGCCTAGCATGGTATATGATACATAATAGGCTATCAAATGTTCACTGACTTAATGAATGAACAGGGGGAAGAGAAAGGGAAGTGAGACCACATGCTTACTCTTACTTGGTTCACAATAATGCTCAGACGCCTGGAGTAAAAGGACCGATAAACTGCATCTTTCGGATAAGTGATATGTGACTTTTAGTAGAAGCCTGGTTATTGGGACTAATTCTATGATTCCAGAGATCACCTTCTTGCCTTGATAAGCTGAGTATGTTATTTGGAAACAAGGATCTTGAAAAACCTTGAGAACAAATATGATGAAAATGGAGATAGTATCAAAAATGCACATCAAAAAGTATAGAAGAGGCTGGGTTCAATGGCTCATATGTATAATCTAACCCTTTGAGAAGCTGAGGTGAGAGGATCACTTGAGGCCAGGAGTTCATGGTCAGCCTGGGAACCTAGCAAGAATACATCTCTATAAAACATTTAAAAAAATTAGCCAGGCCTTATGGCTTGCCTATAGTCCAATATACTCAGGAGACTGAGGCAGAAAGAGCGCTTGAGGCCAGGAGTTCAAAGCTGCAGTGAGCTATGATGATGCCACTGCATTCTAGCCTGGGTGACAGAGTGATATCCTGTCTATTAAAAAAAAAAAAAAAAGAAAAGGTATAAAAGGTATAGAAGGATGTTTGCACTGTGTGCACATTTTTATTTAGGATTTTCTTTTAAAACTAATTCTGATATAAGCAAAAATATCTTATTTCTGCAAAGATTCTTCATTTTTGGCCAGTGGTGCCATGCAATCACATTACATATTTAGAGGAATTATTCCCTGAATATGCATATATTGAGCACTTACTCTGTGCCAGGCTATATCTGTGTTAGGAATACAAACACAGATATAGCCTGAATACAATATAGCCTGTGTTAGGAATACAAACACAGATATAGCCTGATTCCTGCCCCTAAGGTCTTAAATCCTAATTGGTGGAGAGACAAAGTTATAAATAAATAAAGGCAGAAAAAGTGCCACAAGTGCCCTGTTTGAAATATCCTTAAGGTTTTGGATGAGTCTAGAGGCAGTGCTTCAAGGGAGGATGTGGTCAATTGCACAGTGAGTCTCAAGTCAAAAAAGCTTGGTAGAGGAGGTGACTTTGAGGTGAGCATTGATGATAAATAAAGTAGGCTAGGGAGATGAGGGGAAGCCATGTGAGTATAGACATGACAATGTGGTAGCCCAAAAAGCCCATGCAAGTTGAGAAGGCAGCTGTGAGTTTCATTGCAATGAGATCTGTACCATCAGGTGCTGTCAGGTAGAAATGGCAGGCTAAGTAGCATATTTGATAGCAACTAAGATAAGGCTGCCTTGCAAATTGAACTTGAAACAAGCTAGATATAAATACAGATCTATTAAGGCAAAGCACTTCACGTGTCAGTATCTATTAACTGCCTGATACTGAAATGTATTTGTATTGAGTGGCAGGAGCTGGTGGGCCTGCCGGTCCCAGTAGGGCACAAGACCAAGAGAGGTTTTTCCCAAAAAGAAGTATTTGCTTACAAGTGCATACAACCCCTGTTGTATTACAATGTGATTATACTGCAGGCTCTTCTAACAGATAAAATTGCCTATGATGGAAATCAGAGGGAGAGCACAGTGCAAGGCTAGAGGCTGGTTGGCAGCATGCAAGATCAAACTCTCTTTTAACTTGTATCAGACAAGGGATTATCATTGGATTTTGTGATATTTTTGAGTGATACTCATATAGTTGCATTAAAAACAGTCTTGGGAAATTATCTGAATGCATCTACTTAAATGACAAGAATAGATGACAAATTATATCTCCATATCTGTCTAAAAAGAAGGGAGGATTTCATAGTTAGACACCAGGGATTAGGCTTTGCTCTGTATTTTTACAATTATATTATTTCCCCATCTTAAATTAGTAAAGTGGAGCTGATGGTTTTCCCTAGCTCCACGGAGAGAGAGCAAGCATATCACACTATCAGGAACCCAGAATTCTCTTGTATTGTCTATGTTATCTGCAAGATACCATAATACAATCATTCCTTGCTGCGATGAAAAAGGCACATTTCTAAGCAGAATGATATCTGATTCAACACTGTATTTGTATTTATCCAGTGCGCCCCCCTGAAAAGACAAACACATGCATTTCATTTACCATCTGATCTTTATTTTTTTTCTAAACCTTTCCTTACCATCCACACAGGCCCCTGTAGCTTCTAGCCCAGATTTATAAGATAAAAGACCAGTGCTGTTGCTATAGGGGATAGAATGCAACAATGAAAGTTCTGAGTCCAGTAAAATTTTTAAATGCTTTTTTTTGTTTTCCAATATATTTTATGAACTTTTACATTTACTGAGTTTTATGAAATTCTGTAGTTCTTTCAGCAATAACCAATTACAACCTTTTGTCCTTTGTTGCCCAGGGTTAAATTTGATCGAAATAGAACCAGATCTGAATGCTCAGTGATTGTTTTAGATTTCAGCCAAATCAATAATGTTGCTTTATCTATCAGAGTGTTTTGGAAGGTTTAATTGTACTGATTGAGTAGAAATTGGAAATGTTGTGATTACGGTATTGTAATTCACATGCACCAAGCTATACCAGTATGGAGATAAAAGTAGTGTTTAAATAGCAATTACAAAAACAATTGTGCACTCATCAGTCCTTCCTCTCACTTCTCTCAGATAGTTCTGGGGGATCCCAGAATCTCTTTTGTGACCCCCGGACCAGTTAGTGTCCTTAGTAACCTCAACAGAATAAGCGTTTTTCTCTTCTTATGTTGTGGTTTGTTCTAACAATGTCTGCTATTTCAATGTTTAGTCTGCTTTCCCTATTACACCATGTAAATATTCTAGAAATTTTAGTATCTTTCATCCAGGTCACATCATCCCAGCTTCTTGCCGCTGAAAGCAAGATAAATACAGTTATTCTACTATAAGCTACACTTTCAGATTGAAAATACTGTCATAGCTTGTATCATCAAGTTTTCCAGTAAGAGGATCACTAGCTGTTGCTTGTAAATATTTTTCTTTTTCAGATTTTGTATAACATATCTGTACTCAAATGAGGCAAATCTATTCTAGTCATTAGTTTCACTGTCCATTGGGGGAATAAGGAAGGTAGGAGAAATACTCATGGTTTGACAACACTGCATAATTTCCCCATCCAGTGAAATATTCTGTCTGGGTCAAGCTAAAATGAGCCACCTTGTCAATTAATACCAGCATCCTTTTTGGCAAATAGATCTGTCTCTTTGTTCTGCTTCACTGTATACAGAAAAGGGGCCTCAAAAGTCAGAGCTGTTAGATCATTGCCATATACAAGTCTTTAGTTTTGTGTTGACTGAATGGGTTAGATTTCTAGAACAAAAGATTGTTCCTTTAAAAATGATTCCCCTGGGATAACTGATTTCTCACAAAATGTATTGCAGATGAGACTGTTTGGATGAACATTTATAAAGCAGACATTCTAGTTGGTCTAGAACTGAACTTATTTTAGATAGAGCTAGTGATGCCCTTTCCCCAGCATCAATTATATTGTCTTATTTATATGGGGTTTAGGTACCTATTGGGAAACTAATTTGAACAATAATGAAGTTCAGGCATGTCTAGAAGGCTGGGAGGATAAGCAAGCTCAATGGGAACCAAAATACAAAAAAAAGAGGATGACTTGGCTTCACAGAGTGAATTTATTGTAACAGAAGGTGGTGTCTGGCTCAATGATCAATTCTGCAATGGGGCATGGAGTTGAGAAGAGAGAGGCAGTTCTGCTGATATTGTATTGACTGTTGAAAATAACATTATCTTGTTATATACATAAAACAGGTGACCCTTGCTGGTTCTTTCATCACTTTTTCTATCAATAGTTACACATATGGACAGTATTTTTTTCAAGTGGAACAAAAAAACAAGTGCATATTTACACACTTATTTGTATCACAGATTAAAGCTCAATCCTTGTATTGGAGTGGCATAATTACATCCACATATAAGCATTTGCATATGAATGTCCTTGATTTGCATGGACAATTATAAGTACTCTTTTTTGCTCATGCAAATGAAGAAACACCTTTGGAATATTGGCCTCATAATTTCTAATCATATATCATTGAGTGGCATATACAGTTTTAGGAAAGCAATCGGCATCATTTCAAGAATAAGAAGTCATTTAGGCAGATTTTCTCTGAGAAGTGCTTGACAGAATAATTTTTCTTCCTAATAAGAATAATGTTTAAAGATTGAGCATTCAATAGTCCAAAGAGAAAAGGGATAAAGGACTGACTTCGTGGTTCCTGGATAAGCATAAAATAGTATACTTGACTTCACTTGGATATCATATAGAGAATTTTGTAAGTGTTTCAATACAAGCAATCGGAAGACTGTTTATTATCTTTGCACTACAAAGCATTGAAATTCCTGAAAGAAAGAGTGGCAAGAAGATGTTGGAAAGTTAACAAGGGTCAAAACTCTTGGCTTAGAAGGCAAAGGGTCGTGCCAGGCATTTGTAGTTATATTTCCTAGGTTTCTGTCTCTTCAAATAAATTTCAACGTGAGTTGAATATTTCCTAGGGGACAGTGAAACTCACATTAGGGTTTCAGCAGCTGTCCAATAGCCCACGATTTCTGATTATTTAACATGATCTTGAATGTCGACTTTATGTCCAAAGTATTTGGTCTGTTTTGGGGTGTTTCTATCCAGTTCTCAGTTACTTAGATATGTGAAATTACTTCTTGTCATGAGCATGATCATGAGGAGAAAATGTTCAGTTCTATCATTTATGTGCTTTCAGTAATTACACTTCATTTATTGGATCATGAGAAATGACATTTTGCATCTAAGTGAATACAGTTATAATGTATTCACCTCAGTTAGTTAAATCTTAATTCTGTAACTGAGGTGACTCTGCCCTTATACAATCATTCTGTAGTAGGCCTTTTTTCTCATTTTATCTAAGAATATAGCCATTTTGAACACATGAAACAAATGCCTCTTAGATGGTTGCCTCTTTCTCTATCCAAAACGAGGTTGAAAGATAAATCTTTTCACAGGACATTGGGAGATAGTCCTGGGCACATGTAACCACAGTTCAGACACTTGGGGTCCAGGCAGGATGTATTCCCAAGCTTGTGGGCCAAGCCATCTTTCCTCACTACCTTCAAGGTCCACATGGATTTATGTTTCTACTTGGAAGAATACTGTGTATAGTTATTTCCACATGTTTCATTCTTGCATTCTGTGTGTGTGTGTGTGTGTGTGTGTGTGTGTGTATGTTTGTGTATGTATATATACATATATATATACATGAATATATATATGTGTGTGTATTCTAACTGAAGAGTTTATTTATGATAAATGATAGTAGAGATTTTTCACTCCCATGAAAGCAGGTTTTGAAAATAAAGGATTTTGAGAGCACTTTAATAATTATAACAGCTCTGTATATCTATGATATACCTTATGTTTACAGTTACCTTGACATGAAGTTGAGGCCAGTATAATGACCTCTATTTTACAGGTGAGAAAACTGAGCCCAAGAAGTTTAAATGATCTGTTCAATGAGTTAATGCTCAGTACTGGAAGAACTAAGGCTGAATCCTACCTCAAGGGCTCCTAGTTTGGTGCCTTTTCTGGCAGTGAGTCCTGTGCCTTCCACTCCTGTACATCCTATAGCAACAAGTAAAGCCTTAGATAAAACATAGATTTGAAGCTAATACTTGTTTGCTTTAATGAATGTTTCTTCCTTAGAGATCACAAAATGTGCCCAAAGCAAGTATGCCTATTGGTTTCAGCTGTTAGTTCAACTATAACATCTTGCAAAATGCCGAGAGAAACAGCTACAACTTAGAAGATAAAATTGTCATTTTAAATATCTTGAATACAGTGATTATATTTATATCATGTTATATATAATGTATTTTGAGATGGGTGTGAGAAATTGTGGGTGGTTGCCGTCAGTATATACCTCATTAACAGCAAGAAATACCACCACACCAGGGTCTAATGGTAAAGTTTGAAGCCTCTCTTCTGCTCTGCAAATTTCTTCAAGGAACACTCCAATTTCCAAACCTTCCATGCAGTCTTGTTTGCCTCTCCAGCACGCACTTCTTTTGTCTTGTCTGGTCTCCGCCAGGACTCACATTCCTTATCATGCCATGTTGCCCATATTTTCCCAAAGTTTTATGTGTGTCTCTTTTGTCCCCACAACCAGATTACGAAACCTGTGAATGAAGGGATAGTATTTGAGCTCCTTTTTATTTCCCCCTAAGCCTACTTAATATATGCTTTTTGGATGAATAATAGAATTAAAATAAACAGATTTTCTGTTACATTTGTCAGCTATCCATAAGCATACTATGTCAAATTTGAGGCGCTGCAGGTTAGGAGACACGAGAGGATATGAAAGGGAAGTAATTATGATAAAGTGGATGAAAAGAGAGATCTTGAAGAGAGGTTAAATACCTGAAATAACAGTAGGCATGGTGAGCTTATATGCCGTCTTCACATACATATTTCCATAACGGATTGCAAGCTTTCTGAAGATGCCCATGAAGCTTAGCACAACACATGGCCGAGAATACGTACTCAGTTAGTATTTGTCAGTCTAATTAAGAGAAGATATTTACAGACAGGTAAAGAACATTCCTCCACTCCTACTTCCCCTTTTGAGTCATCAAAATTCACCATTTGGTTAACCATCTGCCTCCCTAGCCCCTAAGATTAAAGTTGGGTGAGAGAGAAAATTGTGAAACATAGAGTGTACAGACAATGCCCTGCAGAATGAGTGACCCGTGAGGTCAGGAGCCGTCTTACATTCCCTCAGAAGTCAAGGAGCTCTCAGCTGCTTCTTTGGAGCTGAGGGAAGCATATTCTTAGTGGAGTGGATGGGAGCACTTGAAACAGAGGTAGCAAGTTCCATAAAAATAAGTAGACCTTGCACCCACGCTTGGGCAATGTCAGAACACAGCCTCAGGGTCAGCATGTGAACTCCATACCTACTCTGGATGTTGCTCAAACTTTGAAATATATTTAGTGGAGGATGTATTTCAAAGAAGCAGGGAAGGCTGATTTTTTAAAAAGAAACATGGAGAGGGAGAAAATGGGGGCAAAATTACCCATTTAATAAACACCAAATGATATTTAGGATTTGAAACCTTAAGTGGATTACACTTTCCCATCAATGGAGGTCTCCAGTCTGCTCCTCCTGTGAGTAGCAATGCCTGTTAATGTAGCATCATGAGAAAAGGGAATTAGGATTTTTCCACATTCTGGTGGGAATGTGCCATTATGTGCCCCAGGATCTGACTGGTCATCCTAGGACAATCACTGGGAACTGTATGGGATGATCATTAGAAGAATTGAGTCCCCTGATGAGTCTACATCGTATTTTCTGCTTTAGAGACAAGCTAATAATGGCTGTGCACACTGAATCCTGGGTTTTAGCAGATAAGAATGTTGCCCAGGATGTTCAAAATCACATCAGAGAGAATAATTTGACAGGAGGATAAATAAATAATGCACTTGCTAGTTAGCCTGCAAATAAATGATGACTCTTGAAAACTGTACCTATTTGAATCGTATCTTTTTGAGCAAAATTGGGCCCACTGTATAGGCAGAGCTGCTTCTCCATTTCTAACTTTAGTATTCCTGCTTTGGCACAGGTATTTCTTTTTCATTAGAGCTTTTCAACCAGAAAAGCTAATATGTGAATATATTATTCTACATATTTACTTCGAACTTAACAGGACTGAAGCTCAGTGAAGCAGTTTACATGCGTGGAATACTAACAGAAGTAAGCAGAGGAGTGGAAGGAAAGATATAAGATGGCCAGGAACAGTGTCCCATATAGCAAAGTAATGGAAAAGGCAGAGCAAGATTCTCAGATAGTGAAGTTGGTCAGGAGCAAAGTATTTGAAGAAGGTTTAAAAATAGCAAAAAGTCCTTATAAGCAGACATTTTCCACAACTTTTACCAAATAGTAAGCACATAGGATTGAAAACAAAAAAACACACAAAGATAGATGAACTGTTAAGGATTATTAGTAGAAACAAAAATTGGCTGATGGGTTCTGATACATCTGAAGACTTGTAAGTAGACTTTGGATTTATAAAGAAGGATGCATCTTGATACTTTCAAAATAGAATTCATAGAAAATTTATTTTTGCTACTTATAATAACAAATAAAGAAAATCACCAATAGGACATGCGTAAGATGGAACTAAAATTCAAGGAAAGGAGGCCAAATAAGCCCCAGGTGTTGAATGTGACGGAAGAGAATATGCATGGCTTCCCCTCACTGGGGAATTGTGAGATGTCCTGAGATGAACTGGGCAAAGGATGGGGGAGGTTGACAATTATGCTGAGAGGCAGGAATAGAAACGGAGGCAGTGATTGGGAAATGGCACAGATCCAAGAATCAGGAGCCATGGCGGAAGTAGGTAATGATTTGTGGAGCTATCTTGGTCTCCAAAAGAAACATGAAAGGCAGTTTCTAAGAAGAAATTGAGAGGGATAAAATAAAATAAACAGTAGAAACGAAAAATTAGCATGCCAATGGACACACACGTGAGCGTAGTCAGTCTGCTTTCACCTTGGGCCACTGTCCAGAGTCCTCTTCCTCTGGAGAGCTGTATGACTCCCTTCTTCCCTTCCTTCAGGTCCCTGCTTATTTATAATTTTATCAATGAAGTTTTCTTTGACCATGATATTCAAAACAGCAGTGCAATTCTCCATCCCTCTGCATAACCTATTTTTGCTGACCCTGCTTTACTATATAGCATTTATTGCTTCCTAAAATGCTATCTATTTATGGTCTGTCTCTTTCAAGTATAGTGTATGATCCATAAAGGCAGAAATGTTGTCTGTGTTTGTTCTCTGCTGTGTCTCCAGAGCCTAGAACAGTGCTCAGGACTTAGCAGTCATTGAATGAATAAATGAAGGGACAGTCCTTGGAAGAAATGTGCTGAGAATTGGAGGGTGCAAAATTCTTGATCCATCACAAATTCTTATTTGCTGGCTAACCAGTTTCTCTTCACTAGCTTCAATGTGTCATCTGTAATATTGTGTGAATTAGGCGAGGTCGGGAGTAGGAATATTATATTGCCCCAGGGAAGGAATTGAACTAGCCCAGCTCTTTGAATTTCTTCTGGTTCATAGTCCTATGATTTTGTGATTCTAAGATTTCATCATCTAAATATTCTATTTTCTCCCACTGTGAATTCTCTGCTTTTAAATCAAGTGAATATCTCAATTTTATATGAAATCTGCAGATGATGAAGATTCGCTTTGGTGGGATAAGCAAACATAAGACGAAAGACACCAAAATAATTTTTTGGCCTCGTTAGTCTAAGTTATTCTATATTGGTGAATTGGCTTCTATATTTAGTTGAACCAGGGGGAAAGACATTCAAAACAGTTGTGCTGATGTATTTTTTTTTTCAACCTGTTATTTAAAGGAATTGACCAAATATAGTAGACAATTCCTTGGCTGTTATTTAGAAAAAGCTACGAGCTTGAATCAATATGATATGTTGCTCTGTAGGTATTGAAAATCATTCTACTGTTGTCACTAATTGCTTTGGCATTCTGCAAAAGTACGAAGTGTCAGCTATTTATTAATAAATCTGTTTTTGTAGTAGGGGGTGCATCTTTACTGTTTATCATGTACCAGCAGTAAAGTGTATACACACACACACACACACACACACACACACACACACACTAGAGCCTTGAATATAGAGCCTTGAATAGAGCATGTAATGAAAGACTGTCAGCATGCAGCGTATCTGTTGATTATAAAGCAGGTAATGGGATGTGCGAGGAGAACCATATGAATACAATTCTTCTAAAGCCCTCATCGCCAATGATCACTCTTACATAGATTAAAAACTGTCAGATATAATCATTTATCAGGTAATTGTAAAATGGGAAAATACAAAATTGCGAAGAGATTTCTGATGGCTTGTCACAGTCAGCCCCTGGACCAGGCTTGCATAGGATTCATGAGATTAAATAGATAAAACACATATTCATTTGATTTTCTAGTGCAACTGAATTGAGAGAGGTGGTTGTGCAGGACAGACGCTTCATCTCTTTTTATGCATCAGTGAGTGCTAGAGAAGGCGATCCTCTGTCTTCATCTTTTTAACAGAGCACTTCTAGAGACACAAACTATAGCTTCAAACCATTCCAGAAAATAAGATTGTTTCCTCAGACAAGAAAGAATAATGGAAGAATGCACTCCTCCACCATATCCAAGCCATGTTATACACACGTTTAATGCTGTGTATGTAAATATGCCTATGAGGCAAGATTTGGGAAGTACTGAGAACACTTTTGTAGCTCCATGGATCATTTCCACTAGCTTAATCCAGTTGCTGAAATCATCATTACAAGGCTTGCCAATCCTGAAAACAAAAGCCTTTTCCCTTAGTCTGATTTAAGGATGTGTTTAAGGATAGACCCAACAAATGAACTATATACCAGGGTGAGAAATATGAGGCAGCTCTTGGTGCCCCTGCCCTGGAACCTCAAAAAAACTAAACATGTTTGAGTACTCTCCTCTCTGACCAAAAAAATCTTAAGTTTTTCAAAACATATGAATTGAATACTTAATATTATGTGCCAAGCAAAGAGGGGGGTGGCTTCTGTTCTCAGCAGGAGGCAAGCATATAAATAAATAACTGCACATATGCAATATGCCATTTGAGGAACACATTATGTTGCTTAAGGTTTATTGAGAAATCAGTGACACATGGGTTTGAAGGAAGGGTTCAGTAAAGCTTTTTGCAGAAAGTGACTTCAGAGCAAGACTTTCAGAAAGATTAAGAGGTCATTAGGTAGACCAGAAAGTTTAAAATACTGCAAAAGCAATGCAGCAAAAGGAACCCATCTCACAAAGTGGCTGCCCCTTTTCTTACTGATACTAACTTTCTTTCCCTCCACCCCGGCCTGCTTCATTTTTCTATTTTTCTATTCTGTAGCAGCTTTCATTTGTATAGACATCTTCTGTGACATGCAAGTGTAGCAGAAATTGGCCAAGCATTACCGAAATTATTTGAGTGATGATTTTCTTCATCTTCTCAAGGAGGGTACAGAGATAGTACCATCTACATGCATGGGAGAGAGATTAATTTATTATGTGCCATGGGTGCCTTAAGGCATTAAGACTTAATTCTCTGGTTGAGAAGGGATAGGATAGACATCCACCAAACTTATTCCGTGTTTGTTCTAGCCACAAAGATAGGCTACTTCTTCCACTCTCTCTAGAAGTGAGGTGGGGCTGGGTGACCAAGTTCTAGATAATGGAACACATGTAGAATTGATGTGTGCTAATAAAAATCACCCTGCATGCTTCTTTACATGCATTCCATATCCACTAGCTGGAATCAGAGGACTCTGAATATATAGAGAAATATAGAACCACAAGGTGGAAGGTTCCTGAATTCCCAAATTACATTATCAAAACTGATATGTTTTGGCTCTATGTCCCCATCCAAATCTCATCTTGTAGTGCCCATAATTCCCATGTGTTGTGGGAGGGACCCTATGGGAGATATTTGAATCATGAGGGCAGGTCTTTCCCATGCTATTCTCATGATAGTGAATAAGTCTCATGAGATCTGATGGATTTAAAAACGGGAGTTTCCTTGCACAAACTCTCTCTCTTTGCCTGCTGCCATCCATGTAAGACATGACTTGCTCCTCCTTGCATTCCACCATGATCGTGAGGCTTCCCTAGCCACTTGGAACTGTAAATCCATTAAACCTCTTTCTTTTGTAAATTGCCCAGTCTTGGGTATATCTTTATCAGCAAAATGAAAATGGACTAATACAAAAACCCACCTGCCAAAAACTATGATTGAACTATTATACACACAAGAAATAAAGTTTTATTGTGTTAATCCATTAAACTTTGGGAACCATCTCTTAATTAGTCTGCCTTTAAGCAGAAGTATTGTTTTTCCAGGTTTGCAACTAAGGAAATAATGATTATAGAACAGAAAACTTTGACCAAGGCAAAAGAGCTAACAAATAATGGAAACGTCACTTGAACTCAGACCATGTCACTCTAGAGACCCTGATCTTACCATTCTTTATGATTTCTTTTCTACATAATTTTCCACAGAAAATTAACATCTTGCCCCATAAGGCAAGGAATAGGTCCAGCACAAAATCTCCGATTGCCATTAGTAACCAGTGATGTGGTGAATCCAATCAGCTGAATATGCACTTTGGCTTTGCAGATAAAGCCCTATGATTGTGCTTCCTTCAAAAGCAGGCTCAGCAGCTGTCCTTCTGGTTACTTCTAGGGGGTTGGCATGACTCCCATTTTCTCTAATTCAGTGGCATGAAAGTTTCCTTTTTCTGCTTGTTCTAGAATTTTGCTGCTCAAAGCATGACATACAGACCAGCAAGGCGGGTATCCTGGGTGGTCATTAGAAATGCGAACCCCAGGCTCCACTCCAAACCTACTGAACCAAAATCTGCATCTTTTTTGTTTGTTTGTTTTTTGGTTTTTGTTTTTGTTTTTTTTTTTTTTTGAGACGGAGTCTCGCTCTGTCGCCCAGGCTGGAGTGCAGTGGCACGATCTCAGCTCACTGCAAGGTCCGCCTCCCAGGTTCACGCCATTCTCCTGCCTCAGCCTCCTGAGTAGCTGGGACTACAGGCGCCCGCCACTACACCTGGCTAATTTTTTGTATTTTTAGTAGAGATGGGGTTTCACCATTTTAGCCAGGATGGTCTTGATCTCCTGACCTCGTGATCTGCCCGCCTCAGCCTCCCAAGGTGCTGGGATTGCAGGCATGAGCCACCGCGCCCAGCCCAAAATCTGCATCTTGACGAGCTCTCCAGGTGATGCTCAAGCACATTCAATTTTGAGAAGTGTTGGTCTATAGCACCGAAATACTCTGAAATTTGCTTTCCTGAACAAGAGTGCCCCCAGTACCTGTTGTCTATTCCAACCAGAATCCTCTTCATCTCAGTAACTCTCTATTGTATTTTCCTAACATGACCCACTCTTACCTGGCCGCAATTACAGGTATATTTATTTAAAGAGCCGTGTTTTGACTCATACCTGGCCTGGCTTTGACTTCCCTTCACGAGATCTAGCTATCCCAGACTGAGGATCTCAGACCACAAGCAGGCATTAGCTGTTGTAAAGTAGATGTACACTTTAGAAGAAAATTTTAGGTAATCTATAGTCATTGACAGCTTAGTTTATGAAAGTGTCATATTGGCTCCAGGTACTAAATTGGAATCTATGAGAAATGACTCCTATACCGATCAATTATTATGTGAGTCCCTATTAGGGGAAGAGATGAGAACATAAGGAATTATCTTCGGAGGCCCTATATTGTTAGGCACATTTTCCCATGCATTTATGGATTAATTAGTATTTGATAACCCACCTCCACTACATAACATTTTTGTTTGCTTCTCCTCTTATGGCATTGTAAAAATCTAACTGCCTGCATTTTAAATAAGAACATATTACTGCTCTTAACTGAAATACCTCAAACATCAGCAGAAATGTGTCATAGCGTCCTTTTTGCATCCTCTGTACTTTATGGCTTCTCAGGCATCTGGCTGTGAGAATAAGCCAAGAGCAGACATTCATAGGCTTATCCTGTGAGGAAATATATACAGGTGTCGTTTCTGAACTGGGTGGTCCCTGGATCTGAAATTTGATTACTTAAAATAATTCTGGCTACTTATTTATTGGAAACGTGAGCATGTGACACACAGTTCTCCAACTGCTAACAATAAGGAATTTCCAGTGGCCTCATCAATAGGCTGTCCTTGGAGTATGGTGGAGAAGAGTGCGGGCCCTTGTGCCAAATGGCTGGATTTCGATTCTCACTCCACTCTTATTTGCTCTTTTACTTTGAAGAAGTTGCTTAATCTCTCTATGTATCAGTTTTCTCATGTGAGAAATAGATTCACTCTGTTCTCATGAGGTTAAATAAATAAGACATGGAAATTACTTGGAACTGAACAGACAGCAAGCAGTATATAATTGACAGGGAAAATCAGCTCCGGTCTATTGTGCACATTTATGTCACTGTAGTCATCCTCCACAGGCTTGGGCGAAAGGAGTTAAGATAAACACACTCATTTCTATCTTTGGCTTAGATATTTCCTTCTGTTTTCTGATTGAAAAATGTATTATATAGGAGTTGAAAAAAAAACCATTTTGAACAATAATAGTACCATAGATGGGGACCCTAGAACTCAGAAACCACATGAGAGCATTGGATATGGAAATTAAAAGAGTAATTGCCTAACTTCTTTTGCTGACTATTGTCCTGGCTGATAAACGAGCTTTTTTAAGACTTCCAGTCTGATTTCCCACATGGTAACAGTTATACATGGGCACAGCATCCTTGAGTTGATTGAAGAGAGGAAAACAAAATGTTGTCTGTGAGTGCCTCTATCAGTCCCTGGCTTTGGGAGTTGCTTTGAACGCAAGCTTTCTTACAGTGATCATTATTGGTGTGATAAGGGAGCAATGGCTTAGTTGTCGACTATCATGGTTCAGATGCCTCTAAAGACGTTAAGTGTCTTTTGCGACTCTGATATTCCATCTCACATTTCCCTCTTCTATGTTGTCCGATCCCATTCTTTAATGATAGCAAAGTGTAACACACTTACAGGGTGTTGTATCCTCTTCAAATCTTTTCAGAACTGATTTAATACCATTTTATGGGCCTGTGCAATTCATCCAAACCCTTAAATCATTTTTCTTTCCCCAGCTTAAACCCTTTCAATTCTATACCTCCACTGATAAAGGCTTAACATTATAACGATTTAAGTCGTTCTTGCTCTGAGATGTGTAAATGGAAATAACTGCTGTATCATTGCCAGTGTTTATCATGAGATTATTTTTGGAGGACATCATAGAGTACTAAAACAACCAACATTTACCAAATCCTATTTTCATATTTAGAAAATGTCTTCGAACAGGAAATAACAATTGTGGCCAAGTTAACTGTGACTTGCTTCCAGTATATTTTCAGCAGCATTATTTTTAGTATAACCAAAGCCTTACATTGCACATATTACTTTTCTTCAAAAACAAATATTGAAAAACAAACAAAAATGTTTTTCATTGTTCATTGCTTATAAAACAAAGTCAAAATGTTTTACCTTTTTTGCTTAGTTATATTCTTCTCTAGTCTATTCCATTTCTATAAACTCAACGTTTTTCTTTATTTAGTGTAACTACTTGTCATTGCCTTTTAAGTACATCAGTCATAACTCTTTCCCCCTCTTCTCCTAACATCATTCTTATCATTGAGGCATAATTATTTTGGCACCTCCTATTTTCCCTGTTCTTTAGAAATAATTTTTGTTTAGTATTCATTGTTACAGGGCTTACTGTAACTGGTACAGTGCCTCGTGTAGATACT
Source organism: Homo sapiens (assembly GCF_000001405.40). Classification (NCBI taxonomy): domain Eukaryota; kingdom Metazoa; phylum Chordata; class Mammalia; order Primates; family Hominidae; genus Homo; species Homo sapiens. The sequence continues at coordinate 21,557,890 of NC_000002.12, forward strand.
CACTAAATATTTCCTGAAAACTGACTGAGCACATAAATAAAAAGAGCATCTAATATAGACTAGAAGTGCTGTTATTCTGGTTCTGTCTCTAAAATATGCCTTTGGGTAAGTGTGGCAGACAGACTCTTAAGAGGATCCTCATCTCCTGATGTTCACACCCTTATGTGATCCCGTCCCTTTGAGCGTAGGCAGGACTATGATACACTTCTTCTTCTTTTTATTTTTAAAGACAGATTCTGGCTCTGTCATTCAGGCTGAAGTGCACTGGCATGATCATAACTCACTGCAGCACTGAACTCCTGGGCTCCAGGGATCCTCCTGCTTTGGCCTCCCAAAGCATTGGGATTACAGGCGTGAGCCATCACAACCTGCCTTGTTTACATACAATTCAGCAACGTGACAAGATGCATCTGATCACAGATTACATTACATCATACTGCAGTGCTTGTCTTGCTGGGGTTTCTCTTTCTTCCTTGCTGACTTTGAGGAAGCATGTGGCCAACTTGGGGACCCCCGATGGTAAGGAACTGTGGATAGCCTTGAGGAAATGAGAGTGTCCTCTAAGAAATAGCCTCAGTTCTGTGACCACAAGTAGATGAATTCTTTCAGTGCCTGAGTGAATTTGAATGTGGGTCTTCCCTGGTTGAGACTCAGATGAGCTGCAGCCTTGGCTGACACCTTGGTTGAAGATGTCTTCTGAAGATGCTAAGGAGAGGACCCAGATAAACTGCCCAGACTCATGATTCACGAAAATTGTGATAAAATAAATGTGGATTGTTTCAAGCTGCTAAGTTTGTGGTAATATTATTACATAGCAATAGATAACTAATACAGTAAGTAACTCACTGAATATTGGTCTCAATAGTTGCAAAATGTGAATAGAACTATATATCCTACTTTAGCCATAGGATTTTAAAAAGCAGTTAAAATGAGAAGACAATATATATATGTACCTTAAAATGTTAAAATACTATATAAGCATTGTATTTTAAGAGAAACACTTCACAAATGTGATCCATTTATTCCTCTAGCAACACTTTAAAGGATATATTATCCCTATTTTATAGTTAGAGGAATTAATATAACTATTTTACAGATGAAGAATATGAACAAGAAAGAGGTCAATTAACCAGCTTAAGACAACATAGACTATAAATGGCAGGGCTAAGATTTAAATTAACAAATATTAAATTCCAAACTCTGGGCTTTTCCTACTGATCCCTAGTAAAATGAAGTATGTTGAAAACCATGTAGGATCAATACTTGTGTTTGTATCTTTTCAGCAGTCAACTGGGCAGATTCAGCATTTTAAAATAGTTTTAATATCGCAGTTCTTAGGTTTAATAAAACCATTCCCCTAAAACATGGTCACAAATGCTATGTCCCTTAACAAATTAATTCAACAACCACCACCACAACAAGTATTTATTCAGGGCTTACTATGTGCCAGGGCATCTTCTGAGGATATAACATACCTCAATTAACAAGAAATGGAAATCAAAACTTTTTACCAAAACTTTTAATTGATGATCTCTTTCAACAGAATTTGTGACTGAAATGAATCTTGAAACCTCATTTCTGTTCTTCATTATGCTAAGAGCTGGTTATATCATTTTACGGAAATTGTGACTAAGCATGAAAGAAGCCCAGAGGCTCGTGCAGATGGTGCCAATAGCAAATAACATTAACCTCTAAATTCTTCTTGGTCTATGGGTGAAGGGACTTGTTGGAAGGGTTATTTCTGACCTTTTGATTGGACTTACTGTTTCCCAGACTTACTGTTTTGATCGGACTTACTGTTTTGATCGGACTTACTGTTTCCTTACTGGGTTGGAGAACCCAGCATCCAGTGGGCTATTCTATCAGCCAGTGAACTCCTGATGACAGAAAAACAAGAAACAGGCCCCAATCTGTTTATTTTTCTAGATGCCTAACTTATTCATCAATTAGAAGGGCCAATGCTTTAACCTGTCTCTTCTCAGCAGTGAAAAGAAAGAAAAAAAGACTAAGCCAGGAAACCTCTTGAAGGCCCAGAGAAGTAGGCACGTATATAAGGTGAGTCCTTTACCTGCAGTACATTAATTTCAATTCTATTAGGGAAGAAATAGGAATCCCTACTTCAGCATCAGGTCTAAATTCCATTCTTCTATTCAATGTCATCAAAACAATTGATATGTTAAGCCCTATGTGGTTGTGTGTGCAGTTCTCAATCAGTTGGGATGTGGAGGGCAAGAGGGATGAGTGATTGGCACCCAGAATTGCTAATAGTGCCCTTTAGCTACTAAAAATGATCTTCCCCTTCCCGCTTTGGGAGTGCCTTTATTGAATTCCTTTTGGAAATATATGAAAATGACTCCCAAACCTATACCACTCTTTGTTCATCTAATTCTAGTCCAACTGTCCCCAACTTCCAACTGTTTACAAAGTGTTTCCAGTTGAAGGCCCTATAGTATTAATACATTGAAATTAAGTGTTGATTGATTCCTAAACTTTGATGATGAGCATCACTTGGAGAGCTTGTTAAACCTATAACTTCTCAGCTCCTTTCCCAGAGGGTCTTGTTGGGATCCTAGAATTTGTATTTTTAATCAGTACTCCAGGTAATGCTTATGCTACAAGAATGTTTAATGAAGTGTGATTGACTTGAGGAGCTGAGAGAACTCTCAATTACTCCTTGGCAATCTCTCTTCTCCCTCCTTAATGAGCATAGTGCACCATGAGAACCATACTAGACTTGGCACCTAGAGAACCAACTTACCCGCAGCCATCTTTGGTGTTGGGGATGCTTATATCCTACTAATTCCTCCTCTAATAGTAATTTTATAACAAGCCTCTTTATGTATCAGAACCTTTCTTCAATCAGATTGTCCCAGAATAAGAAAAATGTCTTATTATGAAAAATTACAAACATATACACAAATAGGGAGAATAGTTTAATAAAACTCAATACATCCATTGCTAGCTTCAACAATGAACCATTCACAGCTAATATTGTTTCATCTATACCTCACTCATTTTTCCTCACCCCTGACTCTTTCAAAACATATTTGAGACACCAGATCATTTCATTCATAAATATTTCAGTTATGAATGTCTAAAAAATATATATTTTAAAAAGAATACCATTATCACACATATAAAATAAACAATAATTCCCTGCTATTACCAAATTTCTAGTCAGTCTCTGTTAAGTTGTTATCAAATGTCTATCTATATTTTGTTTGTACAATGAGGTTCCAAATAAGGAACATACATTGAATTTGGAATATATCTCTTAGGTCTGTCCCTCTTCATATCTTTTTTTATCCTTGCTATTTATTTGTTGAAGAAACTAGATTATTTTTCTTTTAATATTTACTGCGGATGTTGATTGCATTTTCTCTGTTCCTTTTGTTTCCTGTAGGTTGAAGTTTGAGTTAGATAGTTGATCAGATTCAGGTTCTGATCTTTGAGCCAGAACACTTCCAAGGTAGAATTGTTTTTTTCCACTAAAAGCACATCATGTCTGCTTGTCTTTTTGTGAGGTTAGCAACTATTGATTATCAAACATCTGGGTTCATTATTTCATTATGCTACATTATATGTATTATAGTGATATTCCAATTTTCTCATTTCGTCTTTATACAGTAGCTAGAATGTTACCTATAAGGAGAAACTTCATCAATTCCTTATTTGCCCTGAGGTATATTTCTTTTAAGAAAGGCAAGGGAGATACCTGATATTTTCCCTATATATATCAATTTTTCAGTGTAATAATCAGGTTTCTAACCATCCTTCAAACATGACCTGTGAGTTTTTGAAAATAAATATTATGTTATATTTTTAAGAATTTAAACACATTTAAAATCCTATCCATTGCCATTATTATCCTCAGTGATGCTTATATTTTTTGAGTTCCTCTCTCAGGTTTTTTTTTTGTTGTTGTTGTTGTTTTTGTTTCTCAATGCCTCTTTTGCCTTTCAGTACACTATAAAACCAAATGTCACATGTTATATGTGAACCAAGTGCCATTCAGTGAGCTTTTGCCCCAAATGGCTTACCTAGTCCAGTGATGCCTGGAAGAAGAGTGGGACTAAGTGTCAACACTGCTCTGTGTCAGATATATGAGTCTGGAGTTAAAAGAGACTGAGCTTGAAACTCAAGATTCAGGAATAACTTTCTCCTAATTAGTATTTAAAATAAGACAATGAGACTCCCCAGGGAGCCTGAAGAAATGAGAAAAAGGCCACACTCCCAGATTACACAAACATTCTCTGCCCACATTAAAGAGTGGGCAGAGAAAACAGAGCAAGGGAAGGACGTAGAGAACTGCATGAGAAGAAACTGAGCAACAAGGATGGGGCAATTTGAGAGAAGCCAGAGATGGAGGAAGGAAGACTTTAGAGGCTCACCACTGCATGAGGATGTACAGTCTTTTGAACTTGTTTTTTTAACAGGCAATTGGTGACCTTCATCCAATCAATAGCATAGCTCAAATTAATCAGGCAACATGCCCCAAAATCATAGTAGACAAAAGGCTGAGTGAAGATCCAAACCCAAGTAGTCAGACTCCAAATAGTCTTCTCTGGCTACTGTGCAATGCTGATCAGTCAGCTGCATTGTAGTTTCCATGGAAAATTGCTATTGACATTATCCCTGGAGGTCTAATTCATTATAATGGAATCCTAGCTAGATGGGATTTAGAGTTTTCTTGGAAGTCCCTGATGGCTGCAATACAGATCTGAATCTCCACACTCCTGGCCTCATAAAATATTAGGATTTAGGCCACATTCTCTAGATCTTCTGGCACTTATATCCTCTGCTCTGAAGTAGAATCCTTTGGTCCATAGTTGCCCTAGAATAAACTAGTATCTGTGTGGAGTAGGAAGGGGAAAAAGAACACTCATATGAGTGCCTTCATCTGTGTGCATACATATGCAGCTGACATTTCTCTCATCAAGGACTGCCAAACCATTTTCTGAGTGCTCAACCACAATTATAAACACCTCGCAGGTAGAACTGCTCCTAGGAAAAATTGGAGCTCCGATAGGAACACTGGCCTTGACAGAGAGAAGGCTTGGTTAGTTCCAGATTCCCCAGTTCTGATATTACCGTGGCTTTATAGGTCAAGAATAAGAAAAAGCCGTCATATGATCCAGCAATCCCATTATTTGGTATTTATCCAAAGGAAAGGAAATAAATGTATCGAAGAGATATCTGCACGCCCATGCATATTGCAGCACTATTCACAACAGTCATGATACAGAAACCAGCCAAGTGTCTAGCAACAGATGAATGAATAAAGAAAATGTGATATATATGCGCAATGGAATATATTCAGCCCAAAGAAGAATGAAATCCTGTAATTCATGGCAACATGGATGAGCCAGGAGGACTTTGTGTTAAGTAATATAAGTCAGGAACAGAAAGATAAATACTGCATGTTTTCACTTATATGGGGAAACTAAAAAATTGATGTCATAGAAGTAAAGAGTAGAATGGGTTACTTGAGTCTGGGAGGGGTAGGGGGAAGGTGAGGCTAGGGAGAGATTTGTTAAAAGATACGAAATTATAGCTACATAAAAGGAGTAAGTTCTAGTGTTCTATAGCACTGTGGGATAACTGCCGTTAACAATAACACATATTTCCAAATAGCTAGAAGAGAGAATATAGAATATTCCCAATATAAAGGAATGATAAATGTTTGAGATTATGAAATGCTAATTACCCTGATCACCATACAATATATGTATTGAAACAGCATTATGTACCCTTATAAATATACATAATTATGTGCCAATTTAAAAAGAAATTTTTTTGAAAAAATAAAATAAAAATTCATAGAAATTTTAAGAAATAAGAAGGAGAAGTGGTACTATTTTAGAAACATGCTTCTAATCAGAGAGCCAGAACTCTAGATATTTTGCCCCAATCAACTTATCTGCATTTTTTCCCAAAACTCCTCCTCCTAAGATTTCTAATCTGGTGATACTTGTCATTGTACTATCTGTTCTCAAATGATGCTCCTTTTACAGATAATTCTTTCCCTTCCAAATCCTGTTCATTCATTCATTCATTCATTCATTCATTCATTCATTGCTTTACTTCCTCATTTAGCAAGTATGATTTTGCTGATGCTGTTCCTTCTCTCTGGGGTCCCCTATCCTTCCCACTCTCTAGAGAGCTTTATCTTTCTCATCCTATTGTCTCACCATACTGGACTAAGTGACCCTCTTCTGTTCTCCAATTACACTCTCTTCATACCACCATCATGGCACCTCATGTTGGAGTTACCGGTTTTCTCTTTGAGTAGGGTCTCTGAATAAGGGGGAATACTTTATATGTGATGTGTTTCACATATGTAGGAGTTCAATAACAAATATTTGTTATATCAAAAAATGTTTGTTTAGATCTCAGTCTATGAAAATCACCTAATCCTATCTGTGTTTGAGCTGTCTAAATTCAGGAGTTGGTATGGTCTGAAATACCAAAGAAACAGAACTCCGAGCTCTTAGCATTTATTTGACTTAGTAGTTACATTTATATCTATAATATTCAATAAAAGCCTCCAATATGTGCCTGGGAGTGTACATGTACATGTGTTAGGGGAAGGAGTATATGGGAACTATATGCAGGCACATTCAGTAAGTCCTTTAAGAATACAGAAGAGAGAGATAGCACTTCTAACATTAAAGGTGAATCTTAGATCTCTCTTTCCTGCTCCCATCCTCTCTTTATGTATTTGAGTCTCTTTGTTTTAAATGTTTATAACATTAACTACTTGCAGGGCCCAATAGACACTGAAAAAGATTTTCCATATGAATAGCATACTTAGTGCATTTTTGGGTTACACTTTATACAACACAAGAGCCAACGTGATGTCTTATATTTATGTGTTGCCTTCAAGATGCCCAGACTGGAGCTGCCACATAGGAGACACTTGGTGAGCTCTCAAGGAAGATTGGATGTCTATGGAGAATCCACGTACCTATATCATATTAGTTGGAGCAAAACACAGACTCTGGGATGAAAGGCAAAAGTGTTATAATGAGGCCAATGGAATGTGCTGAATCCGTTCCTCAAAGAAAAACAAAACCAAATATCTCTCCAAGTCTGGATTATACCAGAGTTTCCAAATCATAAACAACCAATGAAAAAGGGATCATATCATTATGCGTTTCTACAAGGCCTTACTGAGGTAAGATGATGGAATAATGATGACTGCGTTTTTTGGAGGAAGCTTATCGTGCCCTGTGAGAGAGTTTAAATGTGTATTTAGTGTTTGAAAGACTTCCCACATATGAGAGAGACACTCAACAAAAAGTAATTGTGTCTTGAATAATTTTTACACCACCGACAGAGACAAAAAATGACCATCTATTTATATTTCTAAGAATTATTCTTTTTCATTGTGTTCATAAAATGTGGTTTCTTGAATGTCTAGAAGAAATGTCATCCCTAAATATTTAATAATATTGGGTTTCCAACTTGAAAAGAAGAAAAAATTGAAAGAAAAAGAGAATACTTTCAGTGGCAATTATTTGAATTTTTGATGCCTGCTTCCTTTTCCAAAGACAGTAATTGCTTCTTAACAAATTAATCTGGCTGTATATATTCAGCTTTCTGGTTAGCCTTTGCCATTTTCATCTGGTGATGTCCCTTTTATAAAATTTATGGGGCTCATTTTATAAAATTGTGGAGATTTGCTTAGTATGTTTGGAATTGGTATGTCTTTCTCTCTCTAGCTCTGCTCTCGGAATAGCTCTAACCCCCCCAAAAGGGCAAGAACCGGTTTTAATAATGCAGAATTATGCCTCTTTACTAACTACTGAATACGCTTTATTTCGGATGCCAAACCAGGTACTCAGAAGTTTAACATCATAAATCTTAAAATCATAAATCAGACAAGGTAACTTTCTAGTATATGTTTCATGATGAAAGGTAAAATACTAATGGTGCTATATAAACATGACATTCTCTAAATTGAATATAGTGTGCAATTTTCATGGCTTTGTTTTAAAATTTAATGCTTGAGAATAATCATTTTATTTATTGGGCCTCTAAACTAAGTGCATTTAGGCAGTGAAGAAAGTTGTTTGGTACCAGGTAAATGAGCAGGTTTCTTTCTTCACTGGAAGACAAACTTCTGAATTACTGATAGGCATTTCAGTCTTAACAAAAGCTACACTTACAATTTTCTGAACAATTGTTGTGAGATTTCACACATTGATCAAAACACTGATTCAAAATACTCTCATTGTAATTGGTTTGTGGCCCTTTTGTACCTTTTTGCTGCTACTGGACCATTGCTGGCCACTGGACCAATGTCAAGTCATGTTTTGGTGTCTTCTCTTTGGAGAAATCAAACCACTCCATGAACATTGACACCTACATGGCCTTTTTCAACAAGTTAGCCATTGGTTCACAACCAATTCTGGTTCTTGCTCTAATATTAATTATTTTGTGTTACTGATCAAGTTGATTAACTGCTCAGGGCTCTAGTTTTCTTATTTATAAAATGCAGGGGTCTGATGGTGTTTTCTAAAATCCTTTCCAGCTCTGAAATGCTATCACTTTATAGGATCAAATGAAATAATATTAAGTACTGTCTGAACACAGAGGCTAATAATGTAGATGAAGCTGATAAAAGGAGGGAAAAGGGTTGAAAGTTTTCACCTATTTAGCCACAGAATTATTAATTATGCCAGGATTTCAAATATTCTCTGCTAAGAGGAAGGAGTGCCAGGGAATGATCTTTAATAACATGGTTCTACAATGCTACTCATTTTCTATAATATATATTTAAGATTGATATTGCTATTTCTGGCACCTTCCACCAAAAAAAAAGAGACAAAAGGAAAGAAAGGAAGAGGAAAAGAAAGAGAGAGAAAGAAAGAAAAAGAGAAAAAAGAAAGAAAAAGAGAAAATGATATTCAATACTCACTAGTGACTCTAGAGTTAGAAGATGTGTTGTACAGGAACAGAAAACCAAACACCGCATGTTCTTACTCATAGGTGGAAGTTGAACAATGAGAGGACATGGACACAGGGAGGGGAACATCACACACCAGGGCCTGTCAGGGGGTGGGGGACAAGGGGAGGGAGAGCATTAGGACAAATATCTAATGCTTAAAACCCAGATGATGATTTGATAGGTGCAGCAAACCACCATGGCACATTTGTACCTATGTAACAAACCTGCACAATTTGCACATGTGTCCCAGGACTTAAAGTAAAAAAAAAAAAAAAAAAAAAAAAAAGTTTTGTCATTGGATTTATTTTTCTCTATAGCTATATTGTTGCTCCATTTTACAAGGCTACCGTGGCCAATGTTGGCTTTTCTGCTTTTTGTTTTGGGCTGTGTGCCTCCTTCATGTAATGTGAAAATTCCAGCTGCGTGCTTAATGTTGTCAAATAAATTTCTTTCAAGGTTCCTTTTGCTATTCTGAGTATGTATGATCTGGAAAACTTTACAAAATGCTCTGCCCTTTTCTTCCTTCTTTCCTTCATTTCTTCGTTTCTCTCTTCCTTAATCTTTCTTGTCCCTGCCAACCCAGTAAATTCTTCTGCTTTTGAATCAACTTTTATTCTACGGACATTTATTATGAAAATAGATGGAGTGTGTGAACCCAAAGGTCAGTGACCGGCTTAGATAAACACGGACAGTCATTTACTAGAGGAAGGAGGATAGGTAATCCTGCGAGAGAGATGATGTCAGAGACATATGGTACTGAATTCATCATCTTCTGCCCCCTTCTACTCATCTCTACATTTGTAGCCACCTGGCTGTGGAATACCTCGTTATGCAAGCCTCAGCCCAGGACACTTGAGACCTTGAACCATTTCAACACTTAGCTCAAGGAGAATGACAATTCCTTCAGAAATTCTAATTTGTGGAAGTATTAACTGTCTCCTTCTAGAGGATGTGATTAAACTCTATGCAATGACAAGAGGCATATCAATCAAAATATAAATTCTAAAAATTATTCACCAAATATCAGCTCAGTACCTATTAAATAGTCTCACCTGATGTAGTATATTTTCATGCATTTTTGATTGTCTAGCCTCCATATCTCTTTTGATAATCACATTTAATTTTCCACTAGGACGATGGTTTTTAAAAATTTTTAAAGAAACCTATAAAAAGAATGTGTTTAACACTGCAACCTAGTAAACACTGTATCCTACAAAACACAGATTTTATGAAGTAATATTTATCTTCATTACCTGTGAGATCCTCTAATAGTTTTCCTCTTTTCTCTTCACATTTTTCTCCTCTATGCCATTCCCTTGTATTCTTTCTACTAAAAGTAGAAACAAACACAAAAACAAAATGAAAAATGTGTTTGGTTGCAACTCACTAAATTGATTTCATGATTCACTAATTATATGCCCCATTGTTTGAAAAATTGCCCTGCAGAAACACCTTTTCCTCTATGCTCAACACATGTGCTCTGGTGAAATTCACAAAACTCCTAGACCTAATCATGGAGCATATGAAGTAACACAGTCCACGCATAGTGTTCCCCTGCATATGGGATGTATTGCACTATGTAAATGTGACTTAACCCTGTTGAATCACACTGAATCTTTGTTGTGCAGTAGGTCATTCTCTCCTTTCTGCTAGACTTGAGGCAGTGAAGACATAGTCTGAGGATGCTGCAGCCATTTCCCACAAAAGATAAGATTTCTGTCTGAAAATGAAACTTAAGGAGAAGAGCAAAGCCTGTCTAAGACACAGAGGAACTTAGTCCTAAATCTGAATTTAAACCAAGTATCAAAGTATACCTGAAACCAGTGAGCTTAGTTACAGGACTTTCTAGTTATAAGAGTTATGAGAACTGTTATATTTCATTTTGGCTTTAAAGTGTTCCTCAGTGAATCACCTATAGACAATAGGAGGGTAGAGAAAATGGCCTCTAGTTTCCAAGTTTACTTTCAAATAACATTATTTTGCTTTGTGGATAGTGCAAGTACCTTATAACCTATAAATAGGCAGAATATTCCCTATTTCTGCCTCCCACTTCTTGTAACATTGCTCTGGTCATTTCAATTAACCATAAGCTATAATCATCAAGTACATTGTTGCTATTATTATTTTAAACCGATTTGGTTAAACCAATTAAACATTTAAAAAATGCTTTATTTACCTTAGTTTATTCCTTCTCTAATGCTCTTCCTTTTTTTCAATGTAGATATGAGTTTCTGACTTATAAAATTTTTCTTCTTTTCTGAAGAACTTCCTTTTAACATTTCTTGCAAAACTGATGTACTGATGGCAAATTTCCTCAATTTTTGTTCAAGAAAAGCTATTTCTCCTTACTTTTGAAGGATCATTTTACTGAATACAGAATTCTATGTTGGTGTATTTTTTATTTCAACACCTTAAATATTTCACTTCACTTTCTTCTTGCCTGGCTTCTGAAGAAAATTTCTAAGTAATTCTTATCCTTATTCTTCTACAGGTAAGATGTTTAGCCTCAGCTCTCCCCTACCCCCCAGCTTCTTTTAAGATTTTTTTGTTATCTTTGATTTTCTGTAATTGGAATATACTATGTCTAGGTATAGATTTTCATTTAGAATTTATACTGCTAGGTGTTCTCTGAGTTCTGTGAGTTCTGTTGAGTTTCCTGAATCTGTGGTTTGGTGTCTGTCATTAATTTTGAAAAATTCTCAGTCATTATTACTTCAAATATATTTACTATCCCTTTCTCTATTTTCTTTCTGATATTCACATTGCATGTATGTTACATATTTTGTAACTGTCCCTCGGGTTACATATATCTTATTCTGAATTTTTTATTCTTTTTTTTTTCTGTCTTTGTATTTCAGTTTGAGAAGTTTCTATTACCATATCTTCAAGCTCAACAATTTTTTTTCTTTGACTTTGTCCAGTCTCCTGATGAGCCCTTCAAAGACATGCTTCATTTCTGTTAAAGTGTTTTTAATTTCTAGCATTTCCTTTTAATTATGTATCACTCTTTCTTAAAGTTTCCATGTCTCTGCTTACATCATGCATCTGTTCTTCCATGTTGCCCGCCTTTTCTATTAGAACCACTAGTATATTAATCATAGTTGTTTTCAATTCCCAGTTCAATAATCCCAGCAGTTTTGACACATCTGAGTCTGGTTCTGTTGCTCGTTCTGTCTCCACAGACTATAAGTTTTGTCTTTTACCATGTTATTTTTTGTTGAAAGCTGGACATGAAACACTGAATAAAAGACACTGAATAAAGATAGGCCTTTTATGTGAGGCTTTATGTTTGTCTGGCTAGAGGTTAGGTTATGTTTACTATTCGCTTTAGCTGTGACATCAAAAGCTAATTTTTTTTCTAGTGTCTTTGTTTTTGTCTCCCGTGTTGTCTTTGGGTACCCCTAGAGACTCCCCCTTAAATAGAATCTGAGGCATGCAGTTCTTTTAGTTGTAATCCTCTATCATTGTATAGAAGGGGTAGCATTCTACAGTCCTAAGATTAGGCCACAGTCTTTTAGTGAGCCTGAATTGGGTTTCCCTTCTCCATGTCAAAGGCTAGATGGGGCTGTAGTTGGGTATTTCCTTCACCTAGGTCATGCTAGGTTAGGCTCTGGTAAAATTCTAAATGATTCTGGTTAAATAATTTCCTTGAGTGCAAGACTTGTTAAAGAGAACAAAACTTGCTCCATAAATTTTAAAATATTTACCATCTCCTCTTCCTGCTGGATGTACGAGGGGATTTTTCTCCAATTTCACTGTGAGAATCTGGTAGGGTTCCTAAGGGTAAAACTCCAATGAGACCCTAAGAATGAGCCCTACCTGAGCTTTTAACTTCTATGCTAATCCACACCAAGCCTCCAGCAACTCATCATTTACAGTTTAAAGTGTTTCCACCAATACCAGCGTCAGCTCTGGGCATCTGCTCCTGGGCTCTGCTGCAAGTAAGCTGTGCTTCTCCGTATTTGCTTGTCTGTCTCTCCAGTTTTGACAGCAGCAATTTTCCCCATGACCTAAGTTCTCTGATATATCTAAGAACGGTTGCTGAGTTTCACTTTGTTCTGCTTTTTCCTTATTGTGAGGATAGGAGTTATGACTTCCAAGAACTTTACATATTGGACAAGATACTGGAAGGCCATGATCTCCATTTTCAAGAGAATAACGAATATCACATACCAGGCACTTACATATTATATCACGTAAGAGTCATGAAATACTACTATGGAGATCATCCCCATTTTACAGAGTAGAGAACTAAGGTTGAGGAAAGTTAATCAACTGGTCCAAGATTACATAGGTACTAAGTTATAGAGTTAGAATTAGCATAGGCTTGATTCTAAAGCTGTTACTATTATCTTCCAGTAAGAATATGACAATAATGTAGAAGCAAGGACAGCACACAAGTAATGTTAATTTTGAGAGGAGAGTGGGGTCCAGTTAAAGGAAAATCGTCATACCAGGAAAGGTGGCAGTAACATGTTGAGTGTGTGTGTAGGTTTCTTCAGCTTGAATAAGTAGTTTGATTGTGTAGTGGAACAGGAGAAGGCTGGAGGGGCATGTTTGGTGCAGAAGATTGTGGTATTTGTTTTCTTAAAGTAGTTTTACTTTAGTTTTAATTAAAGGGAGGACTTTTTTTTAATGCATCTAGAAAACACTATCCTTTCCCAAGGCTAAAGGGATAATCACTTATACATTCAATTATGTAACTCCCCAAAGAATGAACAATATTTAATGAACTACAGGTGCACAAAAAATATCTTTGATTTTAACAACATGTGCCCTCTATATGTGAAGACTTTCTGCAGTGTAAGGTGGGTTGCCAGTTTCGTAGCGTTGCATGTTTTTGGGGAAGGTGAAGAGAACAGTATTGTTTCTCATTTAATTTTCAGTATTATAAAAGCTTATGTCTCCATTTCCTCCAAAAACATCTGTTAAACTACAAAGCTAATTCAAGCAAACAAAAGAACTTGAAAGAAAGACCAAATGCTCTGTCTCCAAGAAGACATATTTAGCCTGGCTCTAATTGACATTCATATGCATTCAAAAGCAATTAAACTCTCAAAAAAAGCAGCACAACAACAGGAGTCTGGAACTAGCCTTGTTTTTAAGCATTTTAGAGTTCCATTTCAGGGAAGGAAGGCCTGCAGAGCCTGTTTCCATTAGCTGTTGTATTTCTAGCTCTGTAAGACAGTAAACAGTCAGTCTTCTCAGGTGCTATTTTTTGGGAAAATTTCAGACTTGATTAAAAACAATAAAAGAAAAAAAATCTTACCACCTCAACCACCAATCTAAAGTAGCCCCCACTTCTAGGGATTTTATCCCTACATTCTAATTCATTCATGGTGCTTATAACTGTCAGGAAATATTTGTGTACATGTTTATTTTATATCTCCCCCATTATAAGGTAAGTTCAATGAGAGCTGGAACCTTACCTGCTGTACATCCCACTCCCTTGCCACTTATAGGTGTTCAACGAATATTTTTAAATGAATAAATAAATGAGTGAGTAGAATTTCTGTTCCTAGAGTAATAGAAATTATAGTCAAGTCTTGCTCGAATCTTACGTTACCATTACATTTCAGTTTACTGTTTTACTTCTTGACATTGAAAGTCTTGGCTGTGGCAGACTTATTGGTGTGTTATAATTTTGGTGTATGTTACATAAACTCTTCCCATCCTCCTAGTTTAGCTGCTGATAACCCTTCCAGATTTGAACTGATCAGAGGAGGAATAATAAGTACATTTTATTCTTTGTGTTTAAGTTCAAAAGGCACTCTCAGGTATAAGGAAACAAAAATTGAAAATGAGAATAAATGTGATAGATCCAATTTCCTTCCACCTAGATCCCTGAATAAAGCCACTTAAAAATCTTCTAGCCAAGATCGTGTTACTGCACTCCAGCCTGGTGACAGAGCGAGACTCCATCTAAAAAAAAAAAAAAAAAAAAAAATCTTCTAATCAGGGTAAGGAGGAGATTAGCAGGTAGGTCATTTATTGGGTTTGTGACACTGTGTGCATGAACCCCCACCTCGGCAATATTGAGGCTGAGAATGAGGTTGACAAATATGAGCAGGAATGGAGTGTAGCTGAGCTTTGCTTGTCCAGCCCAGAGTCCCTATGATAGGCAGGGGACACGTGATGTGTCTCTTGTCTACAAGGCGGCAGGAATTATAGAGATGCTCAGAGGTTTGCATCTCTATAAAAATGAGATGCAAAGTGAGTTTATGTTTGTAACTCAAAGCCTTCTACAGCATCAGGATGAGCTGTCCTAATAGACTAACCATCCCAGTGCTCGTAAGTAAGATACAGAAGGGCTAAGGGAGGGCTGAAAAAGCTCAAAAGGCCTGAGAATGTGAGCAAGGAAGAATCCAAGTAAGTGTATGAGGCTACAAGCTAAATACTAGGCAGGGGTTTGGATACCTCAGTGAAGTTACAGGAACAGAGTTCATCAATCAAAATCCTTAACCTGATGACTGGTCACCACAGTGAGTGTCGGCATGAAGAGAATGTGTTTGAAGACCACATAAGAAAAGGTATAGTATCTCACAGATTGCCAGTTTAGGATATAACCATAGTGAAACTATGGAATGGTGGTTCTCATTCTTCATTATTGCTTTTGTAGTGGCAGTTGTTCAAATTTTCTAGAGATTTAAATCAATATGGGGAAAAGGGAGACAGAGAATAAAATCTGAGAGTGATTTTAAAATTTGAATATGACTGCATTATAAACCTGAATTGAATGAGAAGTGACTAAATGGGAAGAAATTTACCTGAAAGCAACTTGATATCAGTTTTCTGCTACTGAGAAGAATGGAAGCTTAATGATAGAAATTATATTTGACTATAGAAAAATAAGTTACATTTTTGCATATATCAGTTTGTGGTTACATTTGAATCCATTATATAGTCCCAGCAATTTTTCTTTTATGGTTTCAATTTCTGATGATTTTCTTTTTTAATCTACTAGCACTTATTTGTATGTTCTACCTTTGTTTCTGGAACCATTCGTCATTCAACTATTTCATCAATAGTTTTTAAAACAATGTGGGAAACAGTGCAGTAAAGTCAAGAGGCAGAGAAGCACTTACTCACTGTAGTTAAAAGAATAGCATTCCTTTCCTTAGTCCTTTCTTTCTGTCTTTGCTTGCTGAAATATCCTCCCCTTTCAACCTAATCAAATTGTATTGAGTAAGACTTCATTTAGATTTTACCACTTCAATTCCAATTTCCTGGCTACTCAAGCCCACGATGTGATCCCTTCCTCTAAACTCTTAAAGTATGTGCAGTCTCTACCTTCAAGTTAAGAACTGAATTATAATAGCCCATCTTTGTTGTCTGTTGTTTTCTTCAAAATAATTTCTTTTCTAATTTTGTCAGTTAGACTCTCCAATTCAAGTGAGCTCCCTAAGATCTTCTTTGAACACAAGGTCTTACATTTAGATTCAAAGTAACATTTTGATTTAGAATTAAAGTTGAGTGGGTTTACATAACCTGGGTGGCTCTAAACCCAACCAATCAACTAATTCCTTTCAAAGGAGTAGATCAATATGATCCCAATTTGAGATATCATAACTCATACTAAATTCAAAGCATGTTTAATCAATTTAACACGTAATGTGCTTTCTAAATGGCATAATATTGGGTGGATTTCTGTGGCAATAAAAAGGTGGGTAGAATTTACATCCTACATTAATAGGATTTTTGTTCTTGATTCTAACACAGTCACATTAATCCAGCAAAACCCTGCCTTGGCCCTTTCTAGTCTCTTTCTCTGCCTTTCCCACCACTTAGCGTGCTAGATGTAGGTACCTGAGGACACATTCAGATCTAAATCCATTCAGAGAATGGGGTGTGTTTAATAAAAGTAGTAATGCAATTGCTTGGATCACTGCCCTCAGGGAAGTGTAAAAGTTGTATTGAGATTCAAAGTGAAGAATAGAAAAAAAAAATACTTCTTGCCTGGTTTTTAAATCAAATCCCAGGCTAAAAGTTGAGAATATGTTTGAGTTTGCTTCAGCATTGCTGAAGTCCTATTCTTGATGTTATGTCCAGTGACTTAGTAATCTTTTATTGGAATATGTGAATTAGATATTCTTTCAAGTCACTTTTCATAGGCATCCAGATGGGTGATGGAGATAGATTTGTACCCATCATCTGACCATCACTCTGGCTCTTATTCGACTTGGCAGGTTTGATGAAGAGCTGTATTTGCACATTGGCAGATTCTTTGATGGGCCTATTTTTAATATTGACGACATGAGGTGACTTTCCCACTTTGAGCTTTTTGTTTACAGAAATTTGACCTCCATCCTTACTTTCTTATGCATATTATTACAGTTCTTTTCCATCTTTTGCATCTGCAGTGTTGGTCAAATCTTTAACAGTTACTAAACATGATTATGATGCCATCTTTATTATGATTCTAGTGACACATGTGTCCTATGTTGAAAAGATTGCACTAGTAACATCAGAAAGGATTCTTCTATTTAACTTGCAGGGTGTCATCATGCTGCTGCCTTAATATAAGTCTTCAAAGGTTCTTTCCCTTCCTTTCCATTACCTTCATTGAAGTGAATTTGTTTTACTCTCCTTCCTAAATAATGACATGCTGGATTGTGGCAGCGGTGAGTAATCTAAAAAGATAGCCCCTCTTTCATGGCAAGGAAGTTATGTTGGAACTGTTAGGGACTGCTAGGACACATTGCTATTTCCATGATTAGACAAATTGTTGTTGGAAAACTACCAACAGAGACTGGTTTCATTTGCCTGTTGCCTTGAGTGAGGAAGTCTAAGAACATCAAGAAGTTATCAAGGAGCCAGAATAATTTAAAACCATCTTGGTGTTTTGGAAGGGGTGTTGTTTATTGCTTAATGACATGTGAGTTTTACTCCTCTGGTGGACATTTTACTGCTTTTAATTTTGAGTCACATCAGCATACTTTAGAGTGACATTTTAATTTGTCCTTTCTATGGCTCTAAGGCTACCAGTAAGGCCCTGCGAAACTGCATTTAGCATTAGAGCTACAGATAATCTATTCCTACATTTGAGCCATATATAATCAAGGTTATTTTCTACTCTTATCTATGGAAATGTTTCCATCACTTGATAAAACTTTGAAATTCGCCAGTGGTACCTATTTTACCGTCAATTGGAATGGGCTTAGAGATACATTGTACATTCAGTGTTCACAACTTTTTCTAAGTGAATGGTGTAGCCTGTAATATCATCACACTTCTGAATTGCACATTTGTTGCTAGAAAATGAGAATATACATCTTTACATAAATGTTAATCCTGAAAGAATAATTTGAATTGTGTATTTGTGAAAAATATTCTAAAAGTAAACTTCTGGGTTGGAAATGGAAGAATAGGTCATGGAAATATGTTCTGGTAAATGGACAATTATTTTGATTTTTGGTTAGTGTTTGCTTGTTTGTTTGTTTGTTTTTTGAGACAGGATCTCACTGTCTCACTCTGTTGCCTTGCCTGGAGTGCAGTGACACAATCATGGCTCACTGCAACCTTGATCTCTCCTGGCTCAGGTGATCCACCCACCTCAGCCTCCCAAATAGCTGGGACTACCAGCATATGCTACCACACCTGGCTCCTTTTTGTATTTTTTGTAGAGATGGGGTCTCACTATATTGCCCTTACTGGTCTTTAACTCCTGGGCTCAGGCAATTGGCCCACCTTAACCTCCCAAAGTGCTAGAATTACAGATGTGAGCCACCGCACCCAGCTGGAAAATTTTTCATATACATTTAGCTACACTTGTTTCTGAATTTCCATTAGCACGGCAAAAAAGCATTAATATCCAGGGAAAAACATTTTATGTCAGGCCAAGACACCAGAATGAGTGCCAGCTGCCAGTCAAAAGTTGGATGGGATATACTATAAGATAAAGTCAGTTTGAGGAAGGGCTGGCCAGTGGGCAATTCATTTTATGAGAAAGAAAAATCTTCCTGAGAAGAGAAATGAAAGAGGCTCCTAAAAGAACACTACTAGCAACCATGAACTTGGAGCAGCTAGAAAAGGAGACTGAGGGCCGGGCGCAATGCCTCATGCCTGTAATCCCAGCACTTTGGGAGGCCGTGGCGGGCAGATCACAAGGTCAGGGGATCGAGACCATCCTGGCTAACATGGTAAAACCCCATCTCCACTAAAAATACAAAAAATTAGCCAGGCGTGGTGGCACACACCTGTAGTCCCAGCTACTCGGGAGGCTAAGACAGGAAAATCGCTTGAACCTGGGAGGTGGATGTTGCAGTGAGCCGAGATCACACCACTGCGCTCCAGCCTGGGCGACAGAGCAAGACTCCATCACAAAAAAAAAGGAAAAGAAAAAGGAAAAGGAGACTGAGATGGGTTCTAGGTTAAGAGAGGGAGAAGAAGAGAAGTAAATGCTACCATTGCCTTTGGGAAGAGGTCCAGACATTGGGATCCAGTTATGGTGCTTGCTCAAGGTGTATGCTTTAGGCAAAGGGTCATTCTAGTGGCAGTGCTGGCCTGGTTTGTTATAAGGTGGACAGTTGTGCCAATGCAGAAGGGTGCTTTAAGCACATGTTGACTTTAAGCCACCACAATTTATATTCAAAAGACAATCGTTGATTTTCTGGTGATATATCTGCTGGGTGATGGCTCATGGGTCCTTGCTGTTTTTAAAGGCCACGTAATTGTGATAGATCGAATTGAAACTGTACAAAATTTAAATTTATCTCTTCTTCATTCATCTATGTTAGACATACTTAAATGGGGGCACCTATGATTTCAAACAGAGCTCATCATAATTAGACACATTTATATTTTGATCAGTAGGAGGAAGTAAATAGAAAACTACCAGACATAGGAAACAACTGAGCAGTTCATAATAATAAATTACTAGAACATACACCTTTGTAAATAATTTCTGTAACAAACTACAAAACTTTCTTAGAAAATGTTTCATTCGTGGTCACACCCAATTTTAAAGGTTTTTGTACCTATCATATTAGGATACATTTATAATTGTGAAACAAGTTGAGGTCAGAAGTGACTATTTTAGAGACTAAAAATATGGCTTCTTAATTTAAAGTTGCAAAGAAACCTGTGAATAGTAGCATCAGTTCTAAAGTAAAACAAGTCAATGAATCAGAGGATCAACGTGAGAAAGTTGCCCAGCAGTTAGAGAAAAATAATGACAGAAAAACATGAGATCCGTGACGACAAATTTAGGACAAATGTATAATGGAAATTCCAGAAAAAGGGAAAAAGACTGCAGGAAAAAAAAAAAAAGAAAGAAATAATGGGCATAACAATAGAAGAAAACACAACTGTCAAATAATAAAAAGCTAGAATTTCATTTTAATGAGCCTTCTGGAAACAGATCCTCTTACAATGCACTGGCAAGATTATAATTTTTTAACTTTCAAAAAGAATGAAATATTTCCCCAAATTTTTAAGTAAAATCAAAGGAATTTGCCATATTAGAATCTAGTCCAGGATTTAAGTTTAAAGAAAAGATGATAGCACACACACACCTTTTACATGTTTTACATTAAATAAAACATGTTATTGTTAAGTATTATATATGAGTTCAAAAGAAAAATTTCAATCACCAAGAAGAGTATAGAAGAAGCAATAATATAGCTAGTGGTTAAATGTGCAGTTTCTGCAGCTAGAGTGCCTGGATTTGGATCCAGCCTTACTGCTTACTGTCTGTGCGACATTGGGTGGTTTCTTAACCTCTCTGGGCTTCAGTTTCCACATCTACCAACTGGGAATAATATGTTCATATCTACCTATTAGGTCTGTTTTGAGGATCAAAAGATAGAACACATGCAAAGCATGTAAAAGGTCATTTGGCAGATTGTAAGAAATATTACCTATGTTTATTAAAGATGTGAACCTTAATTTCTGGCAATATTTATGTCTAAATGGTAAGACTAATGGTAGCTTTTATTTTCTGATGTTTGACTAACTGGTTCTAACCTATGAGCCTCATCACATCTCTATTTAGGTATCAGCAACAGCCTGGCAACACCATTATCTCAGACGTCTGCTCCCAGACTCCTCTGAGATCCTAAATATGTTCATTCCCAAGAGCATCCTTTTCCATATTTGACTACCAGCTCTTTGAGGCCCCTCTCTGAGCTCCTGGGCTCTGCCTATGCCTACTTTCTTCCTTCAGTGCACCTAGCTTTTGGAGTAGTAATTTCCCCTGCTGTCATTATCTCTGGAGTACCTCAGCATTTCTTCTCCTTTTTCCTATAACAAATTCCCACTGTTGGAATAGATAATGTAGTTCTTGTTTTCCTGGCGGAACTCTGGCTGATATAAGAGGCATTTGTGAATTTGGGAATTTGATTAACTCCTGAAGGTTAAGAAGCTGTTGCTCTTTGTGGAAGAGGAGTTGAATGAAGTCTGATTCCTTTTTCACATGGCATCCTCCTGTTTACACTCAGGTAAATAGTCTGGACAAATGGAGTACAAGAAATATGAAGTTCTTGGAAAAAAAGGCAGAATCATAAGTCATTTGTGTTCTCTACCAGAAAAGATTGACTTGTGCTATCAGGAACAGAAGACCTGACTAATAGGTACTTAAATACATAGGGAGTTAGATTATGCACTAGAAGGTCTGGGCCTGGGAAATCTGTAGTTTGTAAGGTCAATCAAGACCTTCTGGATTTAAGAAATCAGACTCTGTTTTCCTGTGTTGCTATCTTCAGCATGTGGATTTTGTATTCATGGTCCCATTTACTGCTACATTTTCTTATTACAGGTGGGAAGAAGATAGGAGAAAGGGTGGTATCCATATATTTCTCCTATTTCATTGGTCAGAACTGTATCACAGGACTTCACCTGAAGCTGGAAAACGAGACAGGAAATTGAGATTTTACGGATTTTTTTTTAACTCTTTAAGTCGAGGTTGGCAAGAGAGAAGGGCAACTATGCTACTCATTATGCCACTCCTTATACATCCATTATATTACATGAGTGCCCCATGGTAAACTGCTGTATTTAAGACCCAATATACAGCATTTATATTACTGGTGCAAGAGGCTGATTATATATTGTTCATTCAAGTAGAGTCTTAAGTTCTCCATTATTTGCTTTCTGTATTTGTACAGAAAAGATATGTTGTGAGCTCAAAGGAGCAGAAAACAAAGCCAATTTTTGCTAGCATACTTAGCCACCCATTCTGTAGCATTTGAACTTTGCTGATGGTCATTTACCATGCAAGAGCGACTCTCTTCTGTACTTTCACCATTTGCTACAAGGTCACCCTTGAAGAGCTGCAAGACAAACTCACTGACGTCTTCAGCAAAATGCATTGCCCTCCTTCTTAATTAGCTGCTGGGAAGGAGTAGATTGTTTTGCCATTCCAGTGTCCCCATTTAACTCATTGGGACTTGGCTCTGCTGGTGGAGAAGGGGCTAGGAACAGCTCTTGATGGCACAGCCTAATGAGGCTATCAGTAACACACTGATGCGATTAGACCTCGAAGCATCTCAAATATGTAAGGAGGCAACCTGCACAATACTGTGAAAACCTAGAGCAAGAAAAGGATTTAGTGATTGTGTTTTATTTAACTAAGATGAAAGCAGCAATCTTCCCATCAGGCACTATTTATGATTAATTAAGATAGATTCTGTAAAGCAATCTATGCTTTTTTGTGCTCAAATGGAGGCATGCTAACAAGAGAGGACAATCATAAAGCTCCACAATCTGAACAGTAATGAGCCTGGCTCCAGCCCCACCAGCTAAATTTCATCTCAGTGACATTCAAGGTTTGGCAGCCACCTCCAAGCCTCATCACAGATGCTAATAGCAAATCAACTGAAATGGATGATGCGGGTAATGCCAAACCTGCAATGATTTGTGTCTTTTTAAAAGCTCTCTTCCAATTTTCTATAGATTTGCTAGAGGTGGATGAATACATACATGGCATGCATGTGGGTGCAGAGGGGAGAAAAGCAGAGGGAAGATGAACACATTTCAAGGTGGGCTTCAGAAAACAGATAGGGGAAGGGGTAGAGAAAAAGAGACAACTGCCTGGGTGGGTCCAGAATTCATAGACGGTCAAGACTTTGAAGCGTACTTACATACTGATTAGTATTTATGAGCATCTTTGATCATCCCTCAAAATGATAATTCTGATGACATTCAAGATGTTACCCGCAGTTACCAAAAATGACCAAACAAATATATTTTGAAGCCACTGGACTAATCTAGAAAACTGCAAAACAATGACAATAATAGCACAACAGTGGCTTTCTCGCTAAAATCTTCTAATGTCAGAGACCTATTCATTTTTCAAGTTATTTCAATGGATTTGGGCCAAAAATCAGTTTCTTATTTAATAAACTGTGGTGTCCGTTAATGTGTGCCAATCATTTTGAAGGAAACAAAAGAAGGGATTTATTTTACCAATTTCCTTTGAAATACAAAAAATATTTCATGCTTCCATTTATTTTATACCTATTTATTGAATGTCAATCATGTGCCAGGTGATATAATAGGTTTTAGAGATACCTGACAAAAAATATAAACATGTATTCTGACTTCATAAGACATGTCCATTATGTGGGATTCAGAGGAAGAAGCAGGCAATTAAAACAAAACATGATTTATGCTGTAAAGGGAGAAATACAGAGTCCTAAGAGAGAAATAAGAATACCCATAACCAAGAAATAATGATGTTGAGGAAGGGGCAATACCAGAAAATTTCTTAGAAAAAGGAATGTCTATGCTGTGACATGAATGATTAACAGAAACTGGCTGAGAACAAGAGTAGGGTTTGTGTGTGAAAAGGGTATTCTGGAATGATGAAACAGCTCACAAAAAAAAAAGAGGTTAGAGGCTAGAGAGAGAAAGACATATTCAGAAAACAAAATTTTTCCATATGGTTAGTGTGAGTGAGGGGGTGGGAGGGAAAGGGATTTCGTGTAAAATCACATAAAGGAGTTTCAACTAATTCTAAAGTATTCTTAAACCATTGTATGCCCTCATGAAATCTGTGTTTTGGAATTAAGGAAGAGTGATCTATGATGGGTGAAACTAAGGATTAGGACATGAGTTAATAGGTGGTTGTGGGGATAAAACCAGATGAAGGTATTCTTCTGAGAAGCAGGATAAAAGCAGTGCAATTGTGACAAATGAAGATCTTTGGAACTCTTTAGGAAGCAAAATCAATAGGCATTGGGGACTAATTATATGACAGACCTTCTGGATAAACCCAAGACCATGGTAGATAATGGTGATCTGGGATAGAAAATCCAATATGAGGGACTTGGGATCTGGGAAGGAAGGTCTTCTTCTTCTTCTTCTTCCTCTTCCTCTTCCTCTTCTTCTTCGATACATGTGCAGAACGTGCAGGTTTGTTACATAGGTATACACATGCCATGGTGTTTTGCTGCACCCATCAACTCATCATCTACATTAGGTATTTCTCCTAATGCTATTCCTCCCCTAACCTCCCATGCCCCAACAGTCCCTGGTGTGTGATGTTCTCCTCCCTGTGTCCATGTGTTCTCATTGTTCAACTCTCACTTATGAGTGAGACCATGTGGTTTTCTGTTCCTATATTAGTTTGCTGAGAATGATGGTTTCCAGCTTCATCCATGTCCCTGCAAAGGACATGAACTCATTCTTTTTTATGGCTATGGCTGCATACTATTCCATGATGTGTATGTGCTTCATTTCCTTTATCCAGTCTATCATCGATGGGCATTTAGGTTTGTTCCAAGTCTTTGCTTTTGTAAATAGTGCTACAATAAACATATGTGTGCATGTGTCTTTTTAGTAGAATAATTTATAACCCTTTGGTTATATACCCAGTAACGGGATTGCTGGGTCAAATGGTCTTTCTGGTTCTAGATCCTTGAGGAATCACCACACTGTCTTCCACAATGGTTGAACTAATTTACACTCCCACAAACAGTGTAAAAGTGTTCGTATCCCCCCACATCCTCTCCAGCATCTGTTGTTTCCTGACTTTTTAATGATCACCATTCTAACTGGTATGAGTTGGTATCTCATTGTGGTTTTGATTTGCATTTCTCTAATGACCAATGATGATGAGCTTTTTTTCATGTTTCTTGGCCACATAAATGTCTTCTTTTGAGAAGTGTCTGTTCATATGCTTCACCCATTTTTTGATGTGGTTTTTTTTTTTGTAAATTTGTTTAAGTTCTTTGTCGATTCTGGATATTAGCACTTTGTCAGATGGATAGATTGCAAAAATTTTCTCCCATTCTGTAGGTTGCCTGTTTACTCTGATGATAGTTTATTTTGCTGTGCAGAAGCTCTTTAGTTTGGTTAGATCCCATTTGTCAATTTTGGCTTTTGTTGCAATTGCTTTTGGTGTTTTAGTCATGAAGTCTTTGCCCATGCCTATGTTCTGAATGGTATTGCCTTGGTTTTCTTCTAGGGTTTTTATGGTTTTAGTCTTAATATTTAAGTGTTTCATCCATCTTGAGTTAATTTTTGTATAAGGTATAAGGAAGGGGTCCAGATTCAGTTTTCTGCATATGGCTAGCCAGTTTTCCCAACACCATTTATTAAATAGGGAATCCTTTCCCCATTGCTTGTTTTTGTCAGGTTTGTCAAAGATCAAAGATCAGATGGTTGTAGATTTGTGGTCTTATTTCTGAGGTCTCTGTTCTGTTCCATTGGTCTATATCTCTGTTTTGGTACCAGTACCATGCTGTTTTAGTTACTATAGCCTTGTAGATTCAAGTCAGGTAGCATGATGCCTCCAGCTTTGTTCGTTTTGCTGAGGATTGCCTTGGCTCTATGGGCTTTTTTTGGTTCCATATGAAATTTAAAGTAGTTTTTTCCTAATTCTGTGATGAAAGTCAATGGTAGCTTGATGGGGATAGCATTGAATCTATAAATTACTTGGGGCAGTATGGCCATTTTCACTTTATTGATTCTTCCTATCCATGATCATGGAATGTTTTTCCATTTGTTTGTGTCCTCTCTTATTTCCTTGAGCAGTGGTTTGTAGTTCTCCTTGAAGAGACCCTTAATCATCAGATTCACCAAGGTTGAAATGAAGGAAAAAGTGTTAAGGCAGCCAGAGAGAAAGGTCGGGCTACCCACAAAGGGAAGCCCATAAGACTAACAGCAGATGTCTCTGCAGAAACCCTACAAGCCAGAAGAGAGTGGGGGCCAATATTCAACATTATTAAATAAAAGAATTTTCAACCCAGAATTTCATATCCAGTCAAACTAAGATTCATAAGCGAAGAAGAAATAAAATCCTTTACAGACAAGCAAATGTTGAAAGATGTTTTCACCACCAGGCCCGCCTTACAAGACCTCCTGAGGGATGCACTAAATACGGAAAGGAAAAACTGATACCAGCCACTGCAAAAACATACAAAATTATAAAGATCATCAACACTATGAAGAAGCTGCATCAACTAACGGGCAAAATAACCAACTAGCATCATAATGACAGGATTAAATTCACACATAATAATATTAACCTTAAATGAAAATGGGCTAAATGTCCCAATTAAAAGGCACAGACTGGCAAATTGAATAAAGATTCAAGACCCGTTTGTGTGCTGTATTCAGGAGACCCATCTCATGTGCAAAGACACACATAGGCTCAAAATAAAGGGATGGAGGGCATCCTGGTCAACATGGTGAAACCCCATCTCTACTAAAAATACAAAAATTAGCTGGGTGTGGTGGCCTGTGCCTGTAGTCACAGCTACTTGGGAGGCTGAGGCAGGAGAATCACTTGAACCAGAGAGTCAGAGGTTGCAGTGAGCCAAGATCGCACCACTGCTCTCCAGCCTGGTGATAGAGCAAGACTCCATCTCAAAATAATAACAACAATAATAAATAAAATATAAATAAATAAATAAAGTGATGCAGGGATATTTACCAAGCAAATGGAAAGCAAAAAAAAAAAAAAAAAAAAAAAAGCAGAGGTTGCAATCCTAGTCTTCTGATAAAACAGATTTTAAACCAACAAAGATCAAAAAAGACAAAGAAGGGCATTACATACTGGTAAAGGGATCAATGCAACAAGAAAAGCTAACTGTCCTAAATATATATGCACCCAATACAGGAGCACCCAGATTCATAAAGCAAGTTCTTAAAGACCTACAAAGAGACTTAGCCCCACACAATAATTGTGGGAGACTATAACTAACCCACTGTCAATATTAGACAGATAACAAGACAGAAAATTAACAAGGATATTCAGGACTTGAACTCAGCTCTGGACCAAGCAGACCTAATAATAGACATCTACAGAACTCTCCACCCCAAATCAACAGAATATACATTCTTCTCAGCACCACATCACACTTTTTCTAAAACTGACCGCATAATTGGAAGTAAAACACTCCTCGGCAAATGCAAAAGTTTTCTTTAAGAGATGTTAAGTATGTGGGCTATTCAACTAACTTTGTCTAGCAGATAATGCATAATTATAATGCTGGAACTCACCATTGATGTTAGATTTGGAAGCATTGATTTGTCTATGATGAGCCTACAGAAGGTATGAAAGTGAATGAACTCACTCAAAAACATATAGCGCTGGAAGAGAACCTAGGCAGAAGCTTGGAAAAACACTAACATTTACAGGTTGGGCAGAGAAGGAGCCCCAAGGAGACTTGGTATCAAGAAAGTTATTAGTGGTAGAAGTAAATTTTCAGTGACAGAATGTAAATGACTTGTTAAAAATGTTTGACTGTGAAAGGGAAGAGAAAAGTTAGTTGATATTTGAGGTGAATGTGGGGGCTGAAGAGTAATTCCTTTTTAAAATGGGAGAGAGCTTAATATATGCACACAGTTTTGGAGGTTATGATAATCCAACCTGGGGATAAAGTTTACCTTTGAGCAGCTCATGAAAAAAGGATTTGCTAAGCAAAGGAAGGATGTTAACACATTTGTGGAGAGGCATATTTAACCTACTAAAGAGAACAAAGTGCTTCTCTGCACTCTAACAGCAGCTATTTGCATAGGCACGGTGTGATTAAAGATTGCTCTTACCTTCTCCCTAGAGTCAAGCTTGTCTTTGACAGTACTTTGTTAGTGATGATTTTGAATATCAAAGTTTGTTTGTTCATGTGTTGTTTCCTTCATTCTCCAGCTTTCCAGGTACTGTTCTAGGTGTTAAGAATTCAAAGAAGGCAAAGTTGTTCTTTCCTCAGAAATCAAGTGTCTAGGGGAGGAGAGAGACATTGAGAGTACAGTAAGTGAATTCTGGGAGGGAGGCTCAGGTGCAGGAGGAGGCACCAGCCAGCCTGTGGCAGGAGTCAGGGGATAATGTCTTCCTGGAGACTTCCCTGAAGCCTGGGAGGTTGAGTAAGAATTTGCTAAGTTACATTTCTTTCAGTATATTACATCATTCATAATTTCTACTAATTCAGCCATAATTTTTCCTCCTAACACCTTTATATTAGGAGTCAGCACACTTGCTCTCCTAATATAAAGAGACTTGCTCTCCTAATATATTAGGAGTCAGCACACTTGCATCTCCTAATCGGGTGACAGGAAATATTTTTATTGTAGCAGGCCGTACAGTTTCTGTGACAACTACTCAACTTAACCTTTGTGGTGTGGAAACAGTTATAGACAATACAGAAATGATGGACATGGCTACTGAAAATATTTAATTTCCCCCTGAGCTCTGTGATCCTGGAAAACAGAAGGTTAAGGACTCCCCTACCCTTTGTTTTGGGACACGGCTTACTGCAAAAACCACCCTAATTCATATATAAGACTCAGATAAAACCCATGATTCCTTACTTTTTTCTCCTGACAAGGCCAGGCATAAACCGTCCACATTTTCATTTTTTTTCTTGCCTCATAAATAATTAGCTGAACTGTTCTGCTACTACTGAAGAATGGGAATAAAATGCTTTTAACCAATCTTTGGTTGTTTCTCTCCTTTCTCCTAAGCCCCTGAACTTTCGCCCTTCTTCAACCTTAGGCATTACACAGCCCTCCGTAAGGATTGCTCCCTGAAAATAGGCTGGCCTCAGCATAAAACATTCTACTATCTCATCTACTCTCTGATCATACCACCCTTTTAACTCACCTCCCCACACTCGGTTTTTTTCAGCCTTGCCCGTTCCCCTCCAGAAAAGACTTGCTGATCCTACGGTCAAAGCCTACTTTCCATTTCAGTTGTCTCCGTCTCCCTCTCTCAATTACAATCTTTCCCTCTCCTCCCTCCCTTGCAATAATCCTTTGCAAGAAAATCTTTTCTTTGTTTCTGGATTTGTTCATAAAATTGACTTATTGATACTGTGTGCCAATAAAGCACACTAAAATTTGAATTTTATATAACTTTCAAGAGGCACAAAATTTTATTATTCTTTTGATTTTTTTCCCAACCTTTTAAAAATGTAAGAATCATTCTTAGCTCACAGGTCATACAAAAACAAATGGTAGGCCAGATTTGACCTGAGGGCCATAGTTTGCCAATCTTTGCTTTATAATAAAGATACATCAGGTTTAACAGAACCTGATTCTCCTGACTTTATTCAATTCAATAAGCACTTATTAAGTGCTTACTCTATGCTTAGCATTATTCTACGTCCTGGAGATACAGTCATGAACAATATAAATATTGTCCTACTTTCAAGGAATTTAGAAATAGAAGCATAGTATTACTTGTAATGGCAAAAACCGCAATTAGTTTTGCACCAACCTAATATTTAACTTCACCATTCTCTGCTCCTCTTACATATGTGATGCTTAATGCAGGCTGTGGTCGACGTGTTATAACCACACGGTGTTACTATGCATATAGGCCACTGACTGCCTTAATGAATATATTCCACGTTCTCAACCTTATTAAATGCTTTTCCCTATGTAAAAGTCAACCTAGAAGACTATGCCTTCATTCCAATAACACTGTAATCATTCAAAATAAATGTTGAATTTCTCCTTGAAAATGGTCTTCAGATTGTAGCAAATTATTTAAGTTTTTCCTGTAGTGACTTTTTTTACATGTTAATGGTGAATTTCAATGTTAGAAACTACAAAGATCATTTGAAGCCAAGTCAGATAAGAAAGGGTAAATAAAGAGAACAAGCAATGCTTCTCCCCCGTGAAACACAAGGTCTCTGATTTCAAGGCAATCCATTAGAAAATTTACACAATATTTGAATAACTGAATTGTTATGAAGTGAATGTTTGTGTCTCCCCAGAATTCATGTGTTGAAGCCCCAAACCCTAAAGTGATCATATTGGCAGTAAGGACTTTAGAGAGGTAATTGAGGTTAAATGTGGTCATAAAGATTGGTCCCTGGTCCCTTAGAATTGCTGCCCTTGAGCTCTGTGGCTCTCTCCTTAGACCTGGTGCTTAAAGAAGAGATCCTGTGGGCACATATTGAGACGACAGCTACCTGCAACCTGGAAGAGAGGCCTCCCCAGAAACTGACTTGGCCAACATCTTGATCTTGGACTTCCCAGCCTCCAGAAGTGGGAGAAATAAAGTTCTATTAAGATGCCCAACCTGGCTGGGCGCGGTGGCTCATGCCTGAAATCCCAGCACTTTGGGAGGCCGAGATGGGCAGATCACAAGGCCAGGAGATCGAGACCATCCTGGCTAACACGGCGAAATCCTGTCTCTACTAAAAATACAAAAAAAATTAGCCGGGCATGGTGGCGGGAGCCTGTAGTCCCAGCTACTCGGGAGGCTGAGGCAGGAGAATGGCATGAACCTGGTGGGTGGAGCTTGCAGTGAGCCGAGATCGCACCATAGCACTCCAGCCTGGGTGACTAAGCGAGACTCCATCTCAAAAAAAGAAGATGCCCAACCTGTGGTATTTTCTTATGGCAGCCTCAGCAGACTAACACATAACTCTTCACAAATTTCCTAAAGGAGACTCTAGAAAATTTTGACCCATGTCAGTATTTTGGGAAGGATTTTCCACTCACCAGAAAAAG
This sequence comes from Homo sapiens, assembly GCF_000001405.40. Lineage (NCBI taxonomy): Eukaryota > Metazoa > Chordata > Mammalia > Primates > Hominidae > Homo > Homo sapiens. The sequence goes on from NC_000002.12 coordinate 21,588,743, forward strand.
CTCTATAGAAAAGAAAGGCACTCATTTACATGTACAAGTTTTTGTCAGTTTTAGAAATCACAAACCATATTTTTATGACTTCATTGTGTGTGCATGTATGTGTATGTATGGTACATGTCTGATGAACACCCCCTAACTAGAATATGAATTCTAGGCCCGTAGTCACCTGCACATCTAAAGAAAAGCATGAGATACATCTATGTGGTGTGACCATGTTGGAGTCTTTCTTGTTTAATATCTCCAGGAAGAAAACTGCCTAGAGTCTCTTCAGAGAATAAGTGCTTAGCTAGAAACACAAAGCGAGAGGAGGGGGAGAAAGAGACATACCCATGAATAAAACCCAATCCTGAAACATCTAAGATGTTAAATTTACCTTGATAAGAAAGCTCAGCCTGACACAGTTCTTCCCCTGGGCTGCGAGAGCCGCGCAGCGAGTTGCTTGGATGTATAACATGCCAGAATACTTATTACTTCCCTGAGCATTAGAACCCTCAAATATGGCATTTCCACAATTATTAAGAACATAGGTAATAATAAAAAAGAATGTAAGACCTAGTGAACTAATGCTGATACTGATTAGAAAAAATGGGTTGAATCAGTGAATAATGTATAAGACAGAGATTTACAGCTATCCGCTTTTTGGACAAATACAAGAGTTACTAGCTATTCCACTTATAAGAATCAGTTATCAACTTTCCGTGTCACATAAAGCATTTTTTTGTTTTGTTACCTACATCAGAATTTGATTTTCACTTCTTCTTTAATTTATTTTTCTTTCATCTTTAAAAAACATAAGAAGTATCTAACGTGCCAGTCTGTGATGGGAGCTGGGAGTATAAAGAAAAATAAGTCTAAGACCCAGCCTTAGAAAAGTTGATGGTCTTGAGAAGGAAATAGCACATAAAAGGAATGCCAAGGTAAATTAAGTGTCATAATGCAATGTTGTCAAAGTATAGTGGGCAAAAAATAGAGACCTGCACCCTTCTCTGAGTATGGATGGCAAAGTATTCAATAAACAAGCCCAAGTATTAATAAAAAAGATGAGGGAATCATTGCATCCTATTTCTTCCTCATTCCGTTCCCTTAATAAAAACTGCAGGGTTGGGTAAGTTCAGGAGCAACCAGAATCAATTTACCAGGCAAAAAAGGAGAGGATAGGAATGATACATTTTATGAACTTACTACTTTAGGAGAAAGACACATTATTTTGGTGGCAGTGGGCAACTAGGTAGAAAGAGATTGCTATTAAGTGAAAAATGAGCTTCCACAGGAAGCCACGACAATGAAAGTAATAATTAAATCTTCCTCTAACTTAGGTTGCATTGTAAGTGCTTAGCTGAAAAATGTGTCTGTACCTCCGGGCCTGCAGCAATGACATCTGTTATATTGTAGGAACAGAAAGCTAATGAGTTGGAATCTGGAGTAGTGAGCTTAATTGGGCTTGTTTTGATTAAGTGTATGTGCTGGGAATATTCTAATCACTTGTCTGAATTGCAAAACAGCCATTGTAAGCCCCCAAATTCTTGCAACCATTTGTGTATCCGTTTTAGAATAGATAAGGAAATTGTATGGAGGAAACGGTAAACTGTAAAGCAAAAATTATCTAAAGTTCATATTAAGTAAAATGTATGTAGTGTTCTTTGCCTAATTAGCGACTTTAGGTCTAAATAGGAGCACCGTCAAACATGCCTGCTGTTCACTGTAAGTGAAGGCATCTGCCCTGAGAAGCATGAAATGTCAGAGCCTGAAGGACCACAGCCAACATTATGCCATCCCATTCCCTCCACTTGTAGAGAATCTGAGGCCCAGAGAGAAAGGGGCTTTCCCAACATCAGCATGGAATCTGCGGCAAGGTTAAGCAAGAACCGAGGTCTCCTAATTCCTACTCCATGATTCCTTCCTCTCTTCTGCTCCCCAGTCTGTGAAGTGAGAGGACTCCTGAGGACAGGAAGGGTTTGAAGTATCATTTCTCAACCCAACAGCCAAGATTGGTTATAGCTGTCTTTAGCCTCAAGTAATGACCATGGGATTTTGTTGTCTTTATTACACTCTATTCCAATTTGATTTTTCTCCTCTGCAGAACTAAATATTTATTTGTATAAATATCTGCTTAATATTTGTCTTCTTTTCTGGACTGTATGTTTCATGAGTGCATCCCCGTGTCCCTGAAAGCAGTGCCATTCTGGCACATAGTGTATTTCCATAAGTATTTGCCAAATGAAAAGATGAATTTATGAAAAAAAGAAATGACCCTTTTGATCTAGCAGAGGAAAATGACCCAAATCTAAAAGGGACATTAAAGAATACTCCTATAAGGGAGGCTTCTCTGCTTTGGAAATAGGCATATTTGGAGAAGAGAGAGGTAGAGAAATAAAGGTCCATCTTGAAGGAGGAAAGGAAAGGTGGGCTTAGAAATGAGGGAAAAGAGCTCCTGGACCTTGGACAAATACATTTCTAAAAAAGGTTTAGGATATTAATGTTCAGAGTTTCCCTAATCCAATTCACTTCTTCAATTCACTTCAGTTTAAAAAGCATTTCCTGGACACTCGTTTAGTTTAGAGCTGTGTTAAGCCTTGGGAGACAGGGATGAGCAGACTCAGCCCCTGCTCTCTAGGACCTAAGAGCCAAGAAGTGATGAACTGTGGCACGCCTCCCTAAGTGCCAGCATGTGCAGACTCTGTCCGTCGATGCTGATAATCTCCAAACAAGCATCTGTGCACCCCAGTGTCTAATGCAAAATATGGATGGAAAAAACGATGTATAGATGGAAAAAATGCTACCATGAGGTACTGAGGCCATTAAAGAAATGAGGTCAGAGACCAGAGAGAGAAACAGTATAAAAGCAAGAGTGAGAATAAGAGCAAGCAAACAAGAGAAATAATATTTGCGATAAACTTCCAAGGTCAGCAATGAAAGTAACTAGAATAAATACTCTTAATAAGGAGTGAGACACCTGAAAGAAAAAAAAAACTAAAAAGGACATAGCCTCTGACTCAAGCAGTTATGACTATGACAAATGTTACGGAGCTGTATTTAAAAATTATCTTCATGATAAAGAGGTCCAGGTCAAACCTCAGCATTTTCACTCAACCTTGACAAAATTGACCTATCACTCCTGTACTCACAAACCTATTTTGCAGTGCCCTTTGAATGAAGTAGGAATGGGAAAGGTATGGGAGCTGAAAAACAATCACAAAACACAGGAAAATAAGAGCAGGTTATATGAAGCCAATTTCCCTTAACTGCCAGCATCAAGGGCCAAACATGCAGAAGGAACATGAATAATCAAAGTAAATTTTAATTAGTTTTAATCCTTCCTTGCTCTGCTATAAATAGGGTGGGCTGTTTCCAAGCATCTGACTATTACCTTGGCACGTATGTAATATTTACTGGTACACAGAAACACTAAGCAACAATTTAGGATGGATATTAAAGAAAAATGCCTTACTCAATGTAAACTGCAGAGATAATTTAGGCTGGCAGAATGTAATTACCCAAACTGGAACACATTCCTCAAGGGAGCAGGAAAGCATGAGAAGACAGTATGCTATTGCACCCTGTGATGAGAGTGGCAGTTTTGGAAAATGAAAAGAAAATGAACTAGAGATGAAGTTATATAAGAAGACCTGCCCCTTTTGGTGGCCTTTGGTGAGAAGTGGGGGAACTGGGGGAATTTCACGGCAGCAACTGCTGCATTGAAAAAAACCTTTAAGTTCATTTCATCTAACAGCACATCCTCCTTAGGGGGGTGCTCAGTGTTTACTTGAGCACTGCTATGATGGCGTGTTGACAACTTTCCCACAATGGTCAAAATGGTCCCTTTTATGGAGCTAAGAATTTACATCCTATGATGTCTATCAGTTGGACTTTGTTTGGCTCTTTAGAGCCATCCAATATGCCTGTTTCCTCCTCTAGCAAGTTACTTTCAAATATTTTAATACATTTTTTGTTAACTCTTAGTATTATTATTATTGTTAACTCTCAGTATTATTCCTCCAGTTAAATGTCCACTCAGTTTTCAATTGTACCTTATATGATACATTGGTAGACCCTTAAATATTTCAGTCCAACACCTTAAGACAGGCTGTCATTAATTTTTTCCATCTTAGTGTCCAGAATGGGATGTGTTACTCTAGTATATGAGAGGGCTTGCCTAACACCTTAATAGATCTGAAAATTATAGTTGTGTGAATTCTATGAGAAGAGGCGGCGTCTCACATCCTATTTTAGGTGAAATGACAGGGCATGGTGGAGTAGGTTGTATTGTCTTTTCTGTTCTCTTGACCACACAGATAAAACCTATAAGTGGCAGCACTATCCTAGTCAAAAACTTAGAAAATATTCTATGAGTCTATAGGTTTTCTGTTGAAAATTGTTCTGCCTTTGGTCCCAATTCTATTTTTTCTCAATATCTCTGTTCAGAAAGCATTATGTCGTGATAATATCATAGAGGTCTTATGGATGAATCACTATTGATAGTATTATCTAATGGATGCAATATCTAATGGATCAATTCCATTGATGTGCAGCATGATGTCAGGATGTGGGGATGAGTGGGAATTTCTATGGATGTCTACACTGTCACTTGTCAAAGAAGCAAATTTAATATTGCCTTGAGTTTCTCCCTTCATATAAGCAATATTTTGCTATAATTACTCTAATTTAATATTACTTCATCACTCAAAACAAGCCAAAGGTAAAACAGAATACAAAATCAAAATATAAACTGTAGAGAAACTCTGAGATGAGACGTTTGTCGGGAAAAGATGTTGGCTAGTGAATTCATCAGCTCTAGTTCAGAGTAAGCCACCCTGAAGAGGATGCCCTGGTAATAATAGTGATCTCCACACTGCTGACACAGGTTGTATGTTTCTGTTTTTTCTTTTCTACACTGTTAAGTTCAAGGGACACCCTATCTTTGTCACTGTTTTTGTTTCTTCTTTTCTACACTGTTAAGTTCAAGGGACACCCTCTCTTTGTCACTGTTTTTGTTTTTTGTGTTCCTTTTATCTGTTAGTCAACAAATATTTGTTGACCTCTTGAGGAGACTCGAAGGCTGCAGCCTTGTTAATCATGATGAACACCAAGGTAGGGCCAGGCTCTTGAGCTCCTCTCATCTGCCTTCTGCAAGGGCTACATGGTAACACCACATCAGATGGAAACTAATTTCTTGGGTTTTCCTAGGACTTCAGATATGCTCAAGCAAGAAACCATTACTAATGGGTCGGTTTAGTATCTGTCTTGGAGTCTGGAGCAGATAGTAGCTGTCAATTGTTTTTTGATCACCGCAAAGGTACAGACATTGGAATGGAATCTATGTGAATGTGTTAGTTTTGGTCCATACTGAAAGTTTATTGAATGATGTGAACAATAATTATGCATATCAATACAAGTCAAATGAGTGAGTTAAGGAGCGATAAAGATGAATCTTCATAAACAATGCATATTGCAACAATGTGGGTTTGGGATATTGTAGATATGGTTCCATATAGTTTTCACTAGGTTTGCACTGTGCTACGCTATGTTACTCCACATCATTTCTCCCCATATCACAGCATCCCTTGCCACCGTACTACACATCTAGTGACATGGGTGGGTGAAAAGACAAAGGATCTCTTTGCATTTGCTGTTCATTTTCTTCTAGGATCAGAGTCCAAATTTAAGTCTTTTTGATTATTTTCCAGGCTAAAATATGCATTTGACTTTTGCAGCATTTGATGGTCTCATGAGAGTCAAGATTTTCATGAATCTGTTGAAAAGTCAGTGGTCATTCCTTAAACAGGGAGGAGAGCCTCTTCAGTGAACACAATTGTTCATTATGTGTGACAGTAATGCAGGGACCACTATTACCAGGACATCCTCATCAGGGAGGCTTCCTTCGAATTAGAGCTTATGAATTCACTAGCGAATATCTTTTCCCAACAAACGTTGCATCTCAGAATTTCTCCAGCGTTTACATCTTGATTTTGGATTTTCTGTTTTACCTTTCACTTGTTTTGGGTGACGAAGTAATATTAAATTAGAGTAATTGTTATCCAAACAATGTGAGGAAAAAAAAATTATTATCTCCAATTGGAAAATTAGATAATGGAGTTAGATTTCTTTGCCTTTTTAAAAAATTAACAATTGCTACTCTTGTACCATTCTGAGGGAAATCAACAGCATTTAATTTCATTGTTTTCGGTTTTCTTTGCACTTGTTAAAGAAGAGACTAGTGAGATTGGAATCCTGGGCCTCCCTCCCGTTGGTCAGCAAGAAAAATGGAGGGTGTGCTTCAAGTTTTCCCAAACAGAGGAGCTTAGGGACCTCTCCCTGCTCCTCAAGCAAGCCGTATGCACAGTTGTCATCTGTGCTACAATGCCTGGCAGGCAACGGGGACACAGCCTTTACTAACAGGCAGTTGAGGAAGACTCAGTGACACCGTCACAGTTGCTGGCTCCAGTGCCACACCTGAAATGTGAGCACCAGAACAACACCTGGACGTTGCTATGAACTGGGACCTGTGTTGAGGAACTCTCAGAGCTAGCCTCAGTTCTTTGGAAATGTGCTTGGTCACCTTCTCTATAGTTTTCTCGGCCCATTCCAGTGTGATGAAAATCTTGAGCCACAACAAGCAGACATTCTCACGTGAATTTTAAACCCTGTGCTTCATACCCTGCCCTGGCTCCCCATTCCCCGCTCCATGCTCCACCCCTCAGAAACAACGTTTTTGGGGTGGAACTGTAGCCCTTTGTTTTCCTTTCGTTAACTTTGCTGAAATTGTTTAAACCACGGTGACAGTCTTAGGAGGAAAATGACTATCCAATATAGCTTTTGTTTTCTAAGCTATAGATAATTATAGATAATATAATATAAAACTAATTTTATGCATTATTATAATTATAGATAATTATAACTGAAAAAAGAGAAAATGAAATTTATTTCATTTTCATTACTACTTTTCAGACCTCCCTTTCATCTATTTAAATAACCTTTGTGGCTCTGTACTATGACTTTTAAAAATAAATGCAAATATTTGTTAACCCACTAGACAGATAGACGGATAGATAAATATATATCTATACATGGATATGTATATGAATACACACACACACACACACACACACACACACAGATATCATTTGGCTGTGTCCCCATCAAATCTCATCTTGAATTGTAGTTCCCATAATCCCCATGTGACATAGGAAGGACCCAGTGGGAGGTAATTGAATTATGGGAGTGGTTATACGTATGCTGTTCTCGTGATAATGAGTTCTCATGGGATCTGATGGTTTTATAAGGGGCTTTTCCCCCTTTTGCTTGGCACTTCTCTCTCCTGCTGCCATGTGAAGAAGGACATGTTTGCTTTCCCTTCCACCATGATGTTAAGTTTGTGAGGCATCCCCAGCTATGCTGAACTGTGAATCAATTAAAACTCTTTCTTTCCCCAGTCTTGGGTTTGTCTTTATTAGCAGAATGAGAATGGACTAATAGACACACACACTTATATACACACATACATATGTATACAAATATGCACAAACAGATATGTATATGCCTATAACTATATCTGTCTATGTATTTTATGAACCAATCATTTCTTTATTCCTTTATTTTTTATTTTATTTAAGTTCTGGGATACAAGTACTGAACATGGAGGTTTGTTACATAGGTATACATGTGCAATGGTGGTTTGCTGCATCTATCAACCCATCATCTAGGCTTTAAGCCCCACTTACATTAGGTATTTGTCCTAATGCTCTCCCTCCTCTTGCCCCCCATGCACCAACAGGCCCCAGTATGTGATGTTCCCCAGCCTGTGTCCATGTGTTCTCATGGTTCAACTCCCACCTATGAGTGAGAACATGTGGTGTTTGGTTTTCTGTTCCTGTGATAGTTTGCTGAGGATGATGGTTTCCAGCTTCATCCATGTCCCTGCAAAGGACATGAACTCATCCTTTTTTATGGCTGCATAGTATTCCAGGTGTATATGTGCCACATTTTCTTTATCCAGTCTGTAATTGATGGGCATTTGGGTTGGTTCCAAGTCTTTGCTATTGTAAATAGTGCTGCAATAAACATATGTGTGCATGTGTCTTTTTAGTAGAATAATTTATAATCGTTTGTGTATATATCTAGTAATGGGATTGCTGGGTCAAATGGTATTTCTGGTTCTAGATACTTGAGGAATCACCACACTGTCTTCCACAATGGTTGAACTAATTTACACTCCCACAAACAGTGTAAAAGTCTTCCTATTTCTCTGCATCCTTGCCAGCATCCGTTGTTTCCAGACTTTTTTTTTTTTTTTTGAGATGGAGTCTCACTCTGTCACCCAGGCTGGAGTGCAGTGGTGTGATCTTGGCTTACCTCAAGCTCTGCCTCCCGGGTTCATGCCATTCTCCTGCCTCAGCATCCTGAGTAGCTGGGACTACAGGAGCCCGCCACCACACCCAGTTAATTTTTTTGTATTTTTAGTAGAGATGGGGTTTCACCGTGTTAGCCATGATGGTCTTGATCTCCTGACCTTGTGATCCACCCGCCTCGGCCTCCCAAAGTGCTGGGATTACAGGTGTGAGCCACATGCCCGGCCTGTTTCCAGACTTTTTAATGATCCCCATTCTAACTGGCATGAGATGGTATCTCATTGTGGTTTTGATTTGCATTTCTCTAGTGACCAGTGATGATGAGCATTTTTTCATATGTTTGTTGGCTACATAAATGTCTTCTTTTGAGAAGTGTCTGTTCATATCCTTCACCCACTTTTTTATTTTTTTTTTCTTGTAAATGTAAATTCGTTTAAGTTCCTTGTAGATTCTGGATGTTAGACCTTTGTCAGATGGATAGATTGCAAAAATTTTGTCCCATTCTATAGGTTGCCTGTTCACTCTGATGATAGTTTCTATTGCTGTGCAGAAGCTCTTTCATTTAATTGGATCCCATTTGTCAATTTTGGCTTTTGTTGCAATTGCTTTTGGTGTTTTAGCTATAAAGTCTTTGCCCATGCCTATGCCCGGAATGGTATTGCCTAGGTTTTATTCTAGAGTTTTTATGCTTTTAGGTTTTATGTTTAAATCTTTAGTTTATTTTGAGTTAATTTTTGTATAAGGTATAAAGAAGGGGTTCAATTTTTGTTTTCTGTATGTGGTCAGCCAGTTTTCCCAGCACCATTTATTAAATAGGGAGTCCTTTCCCCATTGCTTGTTTTTGTCAGGTTTGTCGAAGATCAGATGATTTTAGATGTGTGGTGTTATTCCTGAGGCCTCTATTCTGTTACATTGGTCAATGTGTCTGTTTTGGTACCAGTACCTTGCCGTTTTTGTTATTGTAACCTTGTTGTATATTTTGAAGTCAGATGTCATGATACCTGCAGCTTTGTTCTTTTCACTTAGGATTGTCTTGGCTATTCAGGCACTTTTTTGGTTCCATATGAAAATTAAAGTAGTTTTTTCTAGTTCTGTGAAGAAAGTCAATGGAGCTTGGTGGGAATAGCATTGAATCTACAAATTACCTTGGGCAGTGTGGCCATTTTCACTATATTGATTCTTCCTATTCATGATCATGGATTTTTTTTTTCCATTTCTTTGCATCCTCTCTTATTTCCTTGAGCAGTGGCTTGTAGTTCTCCTTGAAGAGGTCCTTCACATCCCTTGTAAGTTGTATTCCTAGGTATTTTATTTTCATTGTAGCAATTGTGAATGGGAGTTCACTCATGATTTGGCTCTCTGCTTGTCTGTTATTAGTGTATAGGAATGCTTGTGATTTTTCCAGATCGATTTTGTATCCTGAGACTGCTAAAGTTGATGAACCAATCATTTCTTAATGGAAAACATTGAAAGGTCACAGCATGATGAGAAAAAAAAACATCATTGTCATGTAGTGTATCTAGCACAGGAAGTAGCTGGAAATGCCCTAACCTTGAAGTATTAAAATGATTCCAGTAAAGCAATGGTTTGAAGTCCCAATAGTTTCCTTTCTTCCTCCTTTGGTCATTGAGGTGAATTAGGAATGTCTACTATGCAGATTTTTTGACATTTCTCATGGTTTCTGATTAGCTTCTTTCATCATGGGCCCCTCTTCTTGCTGAGGACTGACTCCTAAACACAAAGCTCTCAAAAATCTCAACTTGTGCTTGGCACTTTCTGCCTCACTTCAGTGTCTCAGCTCTAGGGAATTTTGATGTCCTTCACAGTACCTGGCATTTAGCAGGCTTTCAATGAACATTGGTCAGTGGAAAAATTGCTGATGAGTCTGGCCCCAGCTCATATCTCCTGGCCATCCTGGTCATAGTCACTGCTGCAATGTTAGTTAATTCTTTCTGTCTTTATCCTATGAAGTATCTAGAAGATATAGTTATTTGAAAAAATTTTAAGGAAATTCAGTAAGTGTTTAAAGCCAGCTGGTTTTATTGTTTCAAAATTCTTCTTTCTGCCTGTTTTTTAAAGCCAAGGATCTCTGACTTTACCACCTGAAGGGTAACTTTATCCCTGTGCTTAAATAATGTTAATTTTTCTTTTCTTTGATATAAATGGATTTCAAAATTATGATAAAACTTCAACACAAGTGAAAAATATAATTCTGTCTCCAGAAATGCTTCCACGGTGTATAAAATCTTGCCTGCACTTTAGGAAATAATCTTGTTATAAAACTGGCACACAAAATTAATTAGTGTTCACCCTGTTTCCCTGCTGACCTCTGCCAGACTATGCACCCTGGGAAACCCCAGGGAAAGTGGAGGCAGCTTTCTACAGGCACAGGCCTGGGGCCCATGATTAACTTTTGGCTTTGAATTAAGCTTTTTTTTTTTTTTTTTCCTGAGTAAATAGAAGCAACCGGCTGCATGTAGTCAGCAGTGCAGTTTAATGATTGAAAAATATTGTAAATGTCACTTGCCTGTACACAATCCTGTTCACCTTTTTACAATGAGTTGAGAGGTTACCCCTTCCAGGAAGCCTTCCCCAGTCACTCCTTCTGGTACTGTGCTATTTCCCCTTTGAATTCCTATGCCACTTGTGGTCTTCCCCAGTCACTCCTTCTGGTACTGTGCTATTTCCCCTTTGAATTCCTATGGCACTTGTGGTCTGTAACATTCAATTCAGCTTTCAGTTCTTGGGTGCTTGTTACAAGAACATACAATTCAGCCTTCAGTCCTTGGATGCCTGAACACCGTTTCAGGTGGTTCCCTTCTTTCCTGGGTAGCAGTGAACTTGTTGAAGGCAGGGTTGAGCCACCTGAATAGGCAGGACATAAATATTTAATAAGCATTTCCTAATCGACTTTTCCAGAATACACACAGGAATGAGTTGGACAGTAGACATAGCTATGTAGAGGCTTTGAAAAGAGATTTATAAGGCAGGATCTGGAAGCTGTGAGCAGTTTTGTTGTTTGTTTTCTAAAGAGGATTCCAATAATGCTCATAAGTTGTGTGTGTGTTGTTCATTGTACAGTGTTCTCAGTAACGTGTCATCTGTCAGGAAGCTTTAGAATGTGACTATAAAACAATATTTCAGATTTTCACAGCATGTGCAAGGTTTCCATCTTTTGGGTCTCTCACTTACATTCTGGGCCAATGGACCTAAAGGCAAGGTGGGGAGGAAAACCCGAGTATACCACTAAGCTCCAGGGGCCAATTTCTGCTTGGATCTCACACACCTCTGAGGATGGTCTATTATCACCACCTTCTTTTCTTGGAAGAAGTAGATTGAGGGTGATGTTAATGGGATACACAGTGTTTGCCCTCATGTTACTCATAATATTCTTGGGAAGTCAAGATTCATGCTCAAATTATTTAGAAACTGATACAAGACATTCTGGAATTACAGTGAAACATGGTGGCTCTGCCTCTAGCATATAAGCTTATGTCCAAAACGCAAAGTTTACCATGGTAAACCATGACCTGCCCAGAGGCTTGCCTGAGAGTAGCAGAGTACTCTATGGCTCCCT